>NC_000023.11:59533075-59702580 GCF_000001405.40 Homo sapiens | reverse complement strand
GTGTTGCAAACCTGAACTATCAAAGGAAGGTTCAACTCTGTGAGTTGAATACAAACATCACAAAGAATGTTCTGAGTTTGCTTCCGTTCAGTTATGGGAAGTTGATCCCGTTTCCAAAGAAATCCTCAGAGAGGTCCAAATATCCCCTCGCAGATTCTACAAAACGTGTGTTTGGAAACTGCTCCATCATAACGAATGTTCAGCTCCCTGAGTTAAACTCCATCGTCACAAAGAATTTTCTGAGAGTGCTACCGTCTGGTTTTTATATGAAGTTCTTTCCTTCACTACCACAGGCCTCAAAGCGGTCCAAATCTCCACTTGCAGATTCTACAAAAAGAGTGTTTGCAAACTGCTCTATCAAAAGGAATGTTCAACTCTGGGAGTTGAATGCAATCATCACAGAGCAGTTTCTGAGAATGCTTCTATGTCGTTTTTAGGAGAAGATATTTCCTTTTCCAACACAGTCCTCCAAGCCCGCTAAATAGCCACTTGCACATTGTAGAAAAAGTGTGTCAAAGCTGCGCTATCAAAGGGAAAGTTCAACTCTGTGAGGTGAATGCAAACATCCCAAAGAAGTTTCTGAGAATGCTTCCGTTTAGCTTTTAGGTGAAGATTATCCCGTTTCCAACGAAACCTTCAAAGAGGTCCAAATATCCCCTTGCGGATCCCACAGAAAGAGTGTTTCGAAACTGCTGTTTCAAAAGGAATCTTCAACTCTGTGAGTTGAATGCAATCATCACAAAGAAGTTTCTGACAATGCTTCTCTCTCGTCTTTCTGTGAAGATAAAGGAAAAGGCTTTCAGGCCTTTTCCACCACAGGCCTGAAAGCGCTCCAAATGTCCACTTGCAGATTCTGCGAAAAGAATATTTCAAAACTGATCTATGAAAAGCAATGTTAAACTCTGTGGCTCGAACACAAACATCACAAAGCAGTTTCTGAGAATGCTTCAGTTTAGTTTTTCTGTGGAAATATTCCCGTTTCCAAAGAAATCTTCAAAGAGGTCCACGTATCCACTTACAGATTCTACAAAAAGACAGTTTCAAAACTGCTCCATCAAAAGGAGGGTTCAACTGTGTGACTTGAATGCAATCATCACTCAGAAGTTTCTGAGAATGCTTCTCTTTAGTTTTTACGTGAACATATACCCGTTTCGAACGAAGGCCACCCAGTGGTCCAAATATCCACTTGCAGATTCTACAGAAAGAGTGTTTCGAACCTGAACTCCCAAAGGCAGGTTCATCTCTGCGAGTTAAATGCATTCATCATGAAGAACTTTCTCAGAGTGTTTGTGTTTAGTTATGGGAAATTATTCCCGTTTCCAAAGAAATCCTCAGAGAGCTCCAAATATCCACCTGCAGATTCTACCAAAAGTGTATTTGGAAACTGCTCCATCAAAAGGCATGTTCAGCTCTGTGAGTGAAACTCCATCATCACAAAGAATATTCTGAGAATGCTTCCGTTTGCCTTTTATCTGAAGTTCCTTCCTATACGACCGTAGGCCTCAAAGCAGTCCAAATCTCCATTTGCAGATTCTACAAAAAGAGTGATTCCAATCTGCTCTATCAATAGGATTGTTCAACTCCATGAGTTGAATGCCATCCTCACAAAGTAGTTTCTGAGAATGCTTCTATCTAGTTTTTATGTGAAGATATTTCCTTTTCCACCACAGGCCTCAAAGCCCTCCAAACGTCCACTTGCAGATTCTCGAAAAAGAGTGTTTCATAGCTGCTCTTTCAAAAGGAAAGTTCAACTCTGGGAGTTGAATACAAACATCACAAAGTAGTTTCCGAGAATGCTTCTGTTTAGTTTTTATGTGAAGATGATCCCGTTTCCAGTGAAATCTTCAAAGAGGTCCACATATCCCCTTGCAGATTCCAAAGAAAGAGGGTTTCAAAACTGCTCCATCAGAAGGATTGTTCAACTCTGTGAGTTGAATGCAGTCATCGCAGAAAACTTTCTGAGAATGCTTCTGTCTAGGTTTGATGTGAAGATATAGACGTTTCAAACGAAGGCTACAAAGTGGTCAAAATATACACTTGCAGATTCTACTACAAGGGTGTTGCAAACCTGAACTATCAAAGGAAGGTTCAACTCTGTGAGTTGAATACAAACATCACAAAGAATGTTCTGAGTTTGCTTCCGTTCAGTTATGGGAAGTTGATCCCGTTTCCAACGAAATCCTCAGAGAGGTCCAAATATCCCCTTGCAGATTCTACAAAACGTGTGTTTGGAAACTGCTCCATCATAACGAATGTTCAGCTCCCTGAGTTAAACTCCATCGTCACAAAGAATTTTCTGAGAGTGCTACCGTCTGGTTTTTATATGAATTTCTTTCCTTCACTACCACAGGCCTCAAAGCGGTCCAAATCTCCACTTGCAGATTCTACAAAAAGAGTGTTTGCAAACTGCTCTATCAAAAGGAATGTTCAACTCTGGGAGTTGAATGCAATCGTCACAGAGCAGTTTCTGAGAATGCTTCTATGTCGTTTTTAGGAGAAGATATTTCCTTTTCCAACACAGTCCTCCAAGCCCGCTAAATAGCCACTTGCACATTGTAGAAAAAGTGTGTCAAAGCTGCGCTATCAAAGGGAAAGTTCAACTCTGTGAGGTGAATGCAAACATCCCAAAGAAGTTTCTGAGAATGCTTCCGTTTAGCTTTTAGGTGAAGATTATCCCGTTTCCAACGAAACCTTCAAAGAGGTCCAAATATCCCCTTGCGGATCCCACAGAAAGAGTGTTTCGAAACTGCTGTTTCAAAAGGAATCTTCAACTCTGTGAGTTGAATGCAATCATCACAAAGAAGTTTCTGACAATGCTTCTCTCTCGTCTTTCTGTGAAGATAAAGGAAAAGGCTTTCAGGCCTTTTCCACCACAGGCCTGAAAGCGCTCCAAATGTCCACTTGCAGATTCTGCCAAAAGAATATTTCAAAACTGCTCTATGAAAAGCAATGTTAAACTCTGCGGCTCGAACACAAACATCACAAAGCGGTTTCTGAGAATGCTTCAGTTTAGTTTTTCTGTGGAAATATTCCCGTTTCCAAAGAAATCTTCAAAGAGGTCCACGTATCCACTTACAGATTCTACAAAAAGACAGTTTCAAAACTGCTCCATCAAAAGGAGGGTTCCACTGTGTGACTTGAATGCAATCATCACTCACAAGTTTCTGAGAATGCTTCTCTTTAGCTTTTACGTGAACGTATACCCGTTTCGAACGAAGGCCACCCAGTGGTCCAAATATCCACTTGCAGATTCTACAGAAAGAGTGTTTCGAACCTGAACTCTCAAAGGCAGGTTCATCTCTGCGAGTTAAATGCATTCATCATGAAGAACTTTCTCAGAGTGTTTGTGTTTAGTTATGGGAAATTATTCCCGTTTCCAACGAAATCCTCAGAGAGCTCCAAATATCCACCTGCAGATTCTACCAAAAGTGTATTTGGAAACTGCTCCATCAAAAGGCATGTTCAGCTCTGTGAGTGAAACTCCATCATCACAAAGAATATTCTGAGAATGCTTCTATCTGGTTTTTGTGTGAAGATATTTCCTTTTCCACCACAGGCCTCAAAGCCCTCCAAACGTCCACTTGCAGATTCTCGAAAAAGAGTGTTTCATAGCTGCTCTTTCAAAAGGAAAGTTCAACTCTGGGAGTTGAATACAAACATCACAAAGAATGTTCTGAGTTTGCTTCCGTTCAGTTATGGGAAGTTGATCCCGTTTCCAACGAAATCCTCAGAGAGGTCCAAATATCCCCTTGCAGATTCTACAAAACGTGTGTTTGGAAACTGCTCCATCATAACGAATGTTCAGCTCCCTGAGTTAAACTCCATCGTCACAAAGAATTTTCTGAGAGTGCTACCGTCTGGTTTTTATATGAAGTTTTTTCCTTCACTACCACAGGCCTCAAAGCGGTCCAAATCTCCACTTGCAGATTCTACAAAAAGAGTGTTTGCAAACTGCTCTATCAAAAGGAATGTTCAACTCTGGGAGTTGAATGCAATCATCACAGAGCAGTTTCTGAGAATGCTTCTATGTCGTTTTTAGGAGAAGATATTTCCTTTTCCAACACAGTCCTCCAAGCCCGCTAAATAGCCACTTGCACATTGTAGAAAAAGTGTGTCAAAGCTGCGCTATCAAAGGGAAATTTCAACTCTGTGAGGTGAATGCAAACATCCCAAAGAAGTTTCTGAGAATGCTTCCGTTTAGCTTTTAGGTGAAGATTATCCCGTTTCCAACGAAACCTTCAAAGAGGTCCAAATATCCCCTTGCGGATCCCACAGAAAGAGTGTTTCGAAACTGCTGTTTCAAAAGGAATCTTCAACTCTGTGAGTTGAATGCAATCATCACAAAGAAGTTTCTGACAATGCTTCTCTCTCGTCTTTCTGTGAAGATAAAGGAAAAGGCTTTCAGGCCTTTTCCACCACAGGCCTGAAAGCGCTCCAAATGTCCACTTGCAGATTCTGCGAAAAGAATATTTCAAAACTGCTCTATGAAAAGCAATGTTAAACTCTGTGGCTCGAACACAAACATCACAAAGCAGTTTCTGAGAATGCTTCAGTTTAGTTTTTCTGTGGAAATATTCCCGTTTCAAAGAAATCTTCAAAGAGGTCCACGTATCCACTTACAGATTCTACAAAAAGACAGTTTCAAAACTGCTCCATCAAAAGGAGGGTTCAACTGTGTGACTTGAATGCAATCATCACTCAGAAGTTTCTGAGAATGCTTCTCTTTAGTTTTTACGTGAACATATACCCGTTTCGAACGAAGGCCAGCCAGTGGTCCAAATATCCACTTGCAGATTCTACAGAAAGAGTGTTTCGAACCTGAACTCTCAAAGGCAGGTTCATCTCTGCGAGTTAAATGCATTCATCATGAAGAACTTTCTCAGAGTGTTTGTGTTTAGTTATGGGAAATTATTCCCGTTTCCAACGAAATCCTCAGAGAGCTCCAAATATCCACCTGCAGATTCTACCAAAAGTGTATTTGGAAACTGCTCCATCAAAAGGCATGTTCAGCTCTGTGAGTGAAACTCCATCATCACAAAGAATATTCTGAGAATGCTTCCGTTTGCCTTTTATATGAAGTTCCTTCCTATACGACCGGAGGCCTCAAAGCAGTCCAAATCTCCATTTGCAGATTCTACAAAAAGAGTGATTCCAATCTGCTCTATCAATAGGATTGTTCAACTCCATGAGTTGAATGCCATCCTCACAAAGTCGTTTCTGAGAATGCTTCTATTCTAGTTTTTATGTGAAGATATTTCCTTTTCCACCACAGGCCTCAAAGCCCTCCAAACGTCCACTTGCAGATTCTCGAAAAAGAGTGTTTCATAGCTGCTCTTTCAAAAGGAAAGTTCAACTCTGGGAGTTGAATACAAACATCACAAAGTAGTTTCCGAGAATGCTTCTGTTTAGTTCTTAAGTGAAGATGATCCCGTTTCCAGTGAAATCTTGAAAGAGGTCCACATATCCCCTTGCAGATTCCAAAGAAAGAGGGTTTCAAAACTGCTCCATCAAAAGGATTGCTCAACTCTGTGAGTTGAATGCAGTCATCGCAGAAAACTTTCTGAGAATGCTTCTGTCTAGGTTTGATGTGAAGATATAGACGTTTCAAACGAAGGCTACAAAGTGGTCAAAATATACACTTGCAGATTCTACTACAAGGGTGTTGCAAACCTGAACTATCAAAGGAAGGTTCAACTCTGTGAGTTGAATACAAACATCACAAAGAATGTTCTGAGTTTGCTTCCGTTCAGTTATGGGAAGTTGATCCCGTTTCCAACGAAATCCTCAGAGAGGTCCAAATATCCCCTTGCAGATTCTGCAAAACGTGTGTTTGGAAACTGCTCCATCATAACGAATGTTCAGCTCTCTGAGTTAAACTCCATCGTCACAAAGAATTTTCTGAGAGTGCTACCGTCTAGTTTTTATATGAAGTTCTTTCCTTTACTACCACAGGCCTCAAAGCGGTCCAAATCTCCACTTGCAGATTCTACAAAAAGAGTGTTTGCAAACTGCTCTATCAAAAGGAATGTTCAACTCTGGGAGTTGAATGCAATCATCACAGAGCAGTTCCTGAGAATGCTTCTATGTTGTTTTTAGGAGAAGATATTTCCTTTTCCAACACAGTCCTCCAAGCCCGCTAAATATCCACTTGCACATTGTAGAAAAAGTGGGTCGAAGCTGCGCTATCAAAGGGAAAGTTCAACTCTGTGAGGTGAATGCAAACATCCCAAAGAAGTTTCTGAGAATGCTTCCGTTTAGCTTTTAGGTGAAGATTATCCCGTTTCCAACGAAATCTTCAAAGAGGTCCAAATATCCCCTTGCGGATCCCACAGAAAGAGTGTTTCGAAACTGCTGTTTCAAAAGGAATCTTCAACTCTGTGAGTTGAATGCAATCATCACAAAGAAGTTTCTGACAATTCTTCTCTCTCGTCTTTCTGTGAAGATAAAGGAAAAGGCTTTCAGGCCTTTTCCACCACAGGCCTGAAAGCGCTCCAAATGTCCACTTGCAGATTCTGCCAAAAGAATATTTCAAAACTGCTCTATGAAAAGCAATGTTAAACTCTGCGGCTCGAACACCAACATCACAACGCAGTTTCTGAGAATGCTTCAGTTTAGTTTTTCTGTGGAAATATTCCCCTTTCCAAAGAAATCTTCAAAGAGGTCCACGTATCCACTTACAGATTCTACAAAAAGACAGTTTCAAAACTGCTCAAACAAAAGGCGGGTTCAACTGTGTGACTTGAATGCAATCATCACTCAGAAGTTTCTGAGAATGCTTCTCTTTAGTTTTTACGTGAACATATACCCGTTTCGAACGAAGGCCACCCAGTGGTCCAAATATCCACTTGCAGATTCTACAGAAAGAGTGTTTCGAACCTGAACTCTCAAAGGCAGGTTCATCTCTGCGAGTTAAATGCATTCATCATGAAGAACTTTCTCAGAGTGTTTGTGTTTAGTTATGGGAAATTATTCCCGTTTCCAACGAAATCCTCCGAGAGGTCCAAATATCCACCTGCAGATTCTACCAAAAGTGTATTTGGAAACTGCTCCATCAAAAGGCATGTTCAGCTCTGTGAGTGAAACTCCATCATCACAAAGAATATTCTGAGAATGCTTCCGTTTGCCTTTTATATGAAGTTCCTTCCTATACTACCGTAGGCCTCAAAGCAGTCCAAATCTCCATTTGCAGATTCTACAAAAAGAGTGATTCCAATCTGCTCTATCAATAGGATTGTTCAACTCCATGAGTTGAATGCCATCCTCACAAAGTCGTTTCTGAGAATGCTTCTATCTAGTTTTTATGTGAAGATATTTCCTTTTCCACCACAGGCCTCAAAGCCCTCCAAACGTCCACTTGCAGATTCTCGAAAAAGAGTGTTTCATAGCTGCTCTTTCAAAAGGAATGTTCAACTCTGGGAGTTGAATACAAACATCACAAATTAGTTTCCGAGAATGCTTCTGTTTAGTTTTTATGTGAAGATGATCCCGTTTCCAGTGAAATCTTCAAAGAGGTCCACATATCCCCTTGCAGATTCCAAAGAAAGAGGGTTTAAAAACTGCTCCATCAGAAGGATTGTTCAACTCTGTGAGTTGAATGCAGTCATCGTAGAAAACTTTCTGAGAATGCTTCTGTCTAGGTTTGATGTGAAGATATAGACGTTTCAAACGAAGGCTACAAAGTGGTCAAAATATACACTTGCAGATTCTACTACAAGGGTGTTGCAAACCTGAACTATCAAAGGAAGGTTCAACTCTGTGAATTGAATACAAACATCACAAAGAATGTTCTGAGTTTGCTTCCGTTCAGTTATGGGAAGTTGATCCCGTTTCCAACGAAATCCTCAGAGAGGTCCAAATATCCCCTTGCAGATTCTACAAAACGTGTGTTTGGAAACTGCTCCATCATAACGAATGTTCAGCTCCCTGAGTTAAACTCCATCGTCACAAAGAATTTTCTGAGAGTGCTACCGTCTGGTTTTTATATGAAGCTCTTTCCTTTACTACCCTAGTCCTCAAAGCGGTCCAAATCTCCACTTGCAGATTCTACAAAAAGAGTGTTTGCAAACTGCTCTATCAAAAGGAATGTTCAACTCTGGGAGTTGAATGCAATCATCACAGAGCAGTTTCTGAGAATGCTTCTATGTCGTTTTTAGGAGAAGATATTTCCTTTTCCAACACAGTCCTCCAAGCCCGCTAAATAGCCACTTGCACATTGTAGAAAAAGTGTGTCAAAGCTGCGCTATCAAAGGGAAAGTTCAACTCTGAGAGGTGAATGCAAACATCCCAAAGAAGTTTCTGAGAATGCTTCCGTTTAGCTTTTAGGTGAAGATTATCCCGTTTCCAACGAAACCTTCAAAGAGGTCCAAATATCCCCTTGCGGATCCCACAGAAAGAGTGTTTCGAAACTGCTGTTTCAAAAGGAATCTTCAACTCTGTGAGTTGAATGCAATCATCACAAAGAAGTTTCTGACAATGCTTCTCTCTCGTCTTCCTGTGAAGATAAAGGAAAAGGCTTTCAGGCCTTTTCCACCACAGGCCTGAAAGCGCTCCAAATGTCCACTTGCAGATTCTGCCAAAAGAATATTTCAAAACTGCTCTATGAAAAGCAATGTTAAACTCTGTGGCTCGAACACAAACATCACAAAGCAGTTTCTGAGAATGCTTCAGTTTAGTTTTTCTGTGGAAATATTCCCGTTTCCAAAGAAATCTTCAAAGAGGTCCACGTATCCACTTACAGATTCTACAAAAAGACAGTTTCAAAACTGCTCCATCAAAAGGAGGGTTCAACTGTGTGACTTGAATGCAATCATCACTCAGAAGTTTCTGAGAATGCTTCTCTTTAGTTTTTACGTGAACATATACGCGTTTCGAACGAAGGCCACCCAGTGGTCCAAATATCCACTTGCAGATTATACAGAAAGAGTGTTTCGAACCTGAACTCTCAAAGGCAGGTTCATCTCTGCGAGTTAAATGCATTCATCATGAAGAACTTTCTCAGAGTGTTTGTGTTTAGTTATGGGAAATTATTCCCGTTTCCAACGAAATCCTCAGAGAGCTCCAAATATCCACCTGCAGATTCTACCAAAAGTGTATTTGGAAACTGCTCCATCAAAAGGCATGTTCAGCTCTGTGAGTGAAACTCCATCATCACAAAGAATATTCTGAGAATGCTTCCGTTTGCCTTTTATATGAAGTTCCTTCCTATACTACCGTAGGCCTCAAAGCAGTCCAAATCTCCATTTGCAGATTCTATAAAAAGAGTGATTCCAATCTGCTCTATCAATAGGATTGTTCAACTCCATGAGTTGAATGCCATCCTCACAAAGTAGTTTCTGAGAATGCTTCTATCTGGTTTTTGTGTGAAGATATTTCCTTTTCCACCACAGGCCTCAAAGCCCTCCAAACGTCCACTTGCAGATTCTCGAAAAAGAGTGTTTCATAGCTGCTCTTTCAAAAGGAAAGTTCAACTCTGGGAGTTGAATACAAACATCACAAAGTAGTTTCCGAGAATGCTTCTGTTTAGTTTTTATGTGAAGATGATCCCGTTTCCAGTGAAATCTTCAAAGAGGTCCACATATCCCCTTGCAGATTCCAAAGAAAGAGGGTTTCAAAACTGCTCCATCAGAAGGATTGTTCAACTCTGTGAGTTGAATGCAGTCATCGCAGAAAACTTTCTGAGAATGCTTCTGTCTAGGTTTGATGTGAAGATATAGACGTTTCAAACGAAGGCTACAATGTGGTCAAAATATACACTTGCAGATTCTACTACAAGGGTGTTACAAACCTGAACTATCAAAGGATGGTTCAACTCTGTGAGTTGAATACAAACATCACAAAGAATGTTCTGAGTTTGCTTCCGTTCAGTTATGGGAAGTTGATCCCGTTTCCAACGAAATCCTCAGAGAGGTCCAAATATCCCCTCGCAGATTCTACAAAACGTGTGTTTGGAAACTGCTCCATCATAACGAATGTTCAGCTCCCTGAGTTAAACTCCATCGTCACAAAGAATTTTCTGAGAGTGCTACCGTCTGGTTTTTATATGAAGTTCTTTCCTTCACTACCACAGGCCTCAAAGCGGTCCAAATCTCCACTTGCAGATTCTACAAAAAGAGTGTTTGCAAACTGCTCTATCAAAAGGAATGTTCAACTCTGGGAGTTGAATGCAATCATCACAGAGCAGTTTCTGAGAATGCTTCTATGTCGTTTTTAGGAGAAGATATTTCCTTTTCCAACACAGTCCTCCTAGCCCGCTAAATAGCCACTTGCACATTGTAGAAAAAGTGTGTCAAAGCTGCGCTATCAAAGGGAAAGTTCAACTCTGTGAGGTGAATGCAAACATCCCAAAGAAGTTTCTGAGAATGCTTCCGTTTAGCTTTTAGGTGAAGATTATCCCGTTTCCAACGAAACCTTCAAAGAGGTCCAAATATCCCCTTGCGGATCCCACAGAAAGAGTGTTTCGAAACTGCTGTTTCAAAAGGAATCTTCAACTCTGTGAGTTGAATGCAATCATCACAAAGAAGTTTCTGACAATGCTTCTCTCTCGTCTTTCTGTGAAGATAAAGGAAAAGGCTTTCAGGCCTTTTCCACCACAGGCCTGAAAGCGCTCCAAATGTCCACTTGCAGATTCTGTGAAAAGAATATTGCAAAACTGCTCTATGAAAAGCAATGTTAAACTCTGTGGCTCGAACACAAACATCACAAAGCAGTTTCTGAGAATGCTTCAGTTTAGTTTTTCTGTGGAAATATTCCCGTTTCCAAAGAAATCTTCAAAGAGGTCCACGTATCCACTTACAGATTCTACAAAAAGACAGTTTCAAAACTGCTCCATCAAAAGGAGGGTTCAACTGTGTGACTTGAATGCAATCATCACTCAGAAGTTTCTGAGAATGCTTCTCTTTAGTTTTTACGTGAACATATACCCGTTTCGAACGAAGGCCACCCAGTGGTCCAAATATCCACTTGCAGATTCTACAGAAAGAGTGTTTCGAACCTGAACTCTCAAAGGCAGGTTCATCTCTGCGAGTTAAATGCATTCATCATGAAGAACTTTCTCAGAGTGTTTGTGTTTAGTTATGGGAAATTATTCCCGTTTCCAACGAAATCCTCAGAGAGCTCCAAATATCCACCTGCAGATTCTACCAAAAGTGTATTTGGAAACTACTCCATCAAAAGGCATGTTCAGCTCTGTGAGTGAAACTCCATCATCACAAAGAATATTCTGAGAATGCTTCCGTTTGCCTTTTATCTGAAGTTCCTTCCTATACGACCGTAGGCCTCAATGCAGTCCAAATCTCCATTTGCAGATTCTACAAAAAGAGTGATTCCAATCTGCTCTATCAATAGGATTGTTCAACTCCATGAGTTGAATGCCATCCTCACAAAGTCGTTTCTGAGAATGCTTCTATCTAGTTTTTATGTGAAGATATTTCCTTTTCCACCACAGGCCTCAAAGCCTTCCAAACGTCCACTTGCAGATTCTCGAAAAAGAGTGTTTCATAGCTGCTCTTTCAAAAGGAAAGTTCAACTCTGGGAGTTGAATACAAACATCACAAAGTAGTTTCCGAGAATGCTTCTGTTTAGTTCTTATGTGAAGATGATCCCGTTTCCAGTGAAATCTTCAAAGAGGTCCACATATCCCCTTGCAGATTCCAAAGAAAGAGGGTTTCAAAACTGCTCCATCAAAAGGATTGTTCAACTCTGTGAGTTGAATGCAGTCATCGCAGAAAACTTTCTGAGAATGCTTCTGTCTAGGTTTGAGGTGAAGATATAGACGTTTCAAACGAAGGCTACAAAGTGGTCAAAATATACACTTGCAGATTCTACTACAAGGGTGTTGCAAACCTGAACTATCAAAGGAAGGTTCAACTCTGTGAGTTGAATACAAACATCACAAAGAATGTTCTGAGTTTGCTTCCGTTCAGTTATGGGAAGTTGATCCCGTTTCCAACGAAATCCTCAGAGAGGTCCAAATATCCCCTTGCAGATTCTACAAAACGTGTGTTTGGAAACTGCTCCATCATAACGAATGTTCAGCTCTCTGAGTTAAACTCCATCGTCACAAAAAATTTTCTGAGAGTGCTACCGTCTGGTTTTTATATGAAGTTCTTTCCTTTACTACCTCAGGCCTCAAAGCGGTCCAAATCTCCACTTGCAGATTCTACAAAAACAGTGTTTGCAAACTGCTCTATCAAAAGGAATGTTCAACTCTGGGAGTTGAATGCAATCATCACAGAGCAGTTTCTGAGAATGCTTCTATGTCGTTTTTAGGAGAAGATATTTCCTTTTCCAACACAGTCCTCCAAGCCCGCTAAATATCCACTTGCACATTGTAGAAAAAGGGTGTCGAAGCTGCGCTATCAAAGGGAAAGTTCAACTCTGTGAGGTGAATGCAAACATCCCAAAGAAGTTTCTGAGAATGCTTCCGTTTAGCTTTTAGGTGAAGATTATCCCGTTTCCAACGAAATCTTCAAAGAGGTCCAAATATCCCCTTGCGGATCCCACAGAAAGAGTGTTTCGAAACTGCTGTTTCAAAAGGAATCTTCAACTCTGTGAGTTGAATGCAATCATCACAAAGAAGTTTCTGACAATGCTTCTCTCTCGTCTTTCTGTGAAGATAAAGGAAAAGGCTTTCAGGCCTTTTCCACCACAGGCCTGAAAGCACTCCAAATGTCCACTTGCAGATTCTGCCAAAAGAATATTTCAAAACTGCTCTATGAAAAGCAATGTTAAACTCTGCGGCTCGAACACAAACATCACAAAGCCGTTTCTGAGAATGCTTCAGTTTAGTTTTTCTGTGGAAATATTCCCGTTTCCAAAGAAATCTTCAAAGAGGTCCACGTATCCACTTACAGATTCTACAAAAAGACAGTTTCAAAACTGCTCCATCAAAAGGAGGGTTCAACCGTGTGACTTGAATGCAATCATCACTCAGAAGTTTCTGAGAATGCTTCTCTTTAGTTTTTACGTGAGCATATACCCGTTTCGAACGAAGGCCACCCAGTGGTCCAAATATCCACTTGCAGATTATACAGAAAGAGTGTTTCGAACCTGAACTCTCAAAGGCAGGTTCATCTCTGCGAGTTAAATGCATTCATCATGAAGAACTTTCTCAGAGTGTTTGTGTTTAGTTATGGGAAATTATTCCCGTTTCCAACGAAATCCTCAGAGAGCTCCAAATATCCACCTGCAGATTCTACCAAAAGTGTATTTGGAAACTGCTCCATCAAAAGGCATGTTCAGCTCTGTGAGTGAAACTCCATCATCACAAAGAATATTCTGAGAATGCTTCCGTTTGCCTTTTATCTGAAGTTCCTTCCTGTACTACCGTAGGCCTCAAAGCAGTCCAAATCTCCATTTGTAGATTCTATAAAAAGAGTGATTCCAATCTGCTCTATCAATAGGATTGTTCAACTCCATGAGTTGAATGCCATCCTCACAAAGTAGTTTCTGAGAATGCTTCTATCTGGTTTTTGTGTGAAGATATTTCCTTTTCCACCACAGGCCTCAAAGCCCTCCAAACGTCCACTTGCAGATTCTCGAAAAAGAGTGTTTCATAGCTGCTCTTTCAAAAGGAAAGTTCAACTCTGGGAGTTGAATGCAAACATCACAAAATAGTTTCCGAGAATGCTTCTGTTTAGTTTTTATGTGAAGATGATCCCGTTTCCAGTGAAATCTTCAAAGAGGTCCACATATCCCCTTGCAGATTCCAAAGAAAGAGGGTTTCAAAACTGCTCCATCAGAAGGATTGTTCAACTCTGTGAGTTGAATGCAGTCATCGCAGAAAACTTTCTGAGAATGCTTCTGTCTAGGTTTGATGTGAAGATATAGACGTTTCAAACGAAGGCTACAAAGTGGTCAAAATATACACTTGCAGATTCTACTACAAGGGTGTTGCAAACCTGAACTATCAAAGGAAGGTTCAACTCTGTGGGTTGAATACAAACATCACAAAGAATGTTCTGAGTTTGCTTCCGTTCAGTTATGGGAAGTTGATCCCGTTTCCAACGAAATCCTCAGAGAGGTCCAAATATCCCCTTGCAGATTCTACAAAACGTGTGTTTGGAAACTGCTCCATCATAACGAATGTTCAGCTCCCTGAGTTAAACTCCATCGTCACAAAGAATTTTCTGAGAGTGCTACCGTCTGGTTTTTATATGAAGTTCTTTCCTTCACTACCACAGACCTCAAAGCGGTCCAAATCTCCACTTGCAGATTCTACAAAAAGAGTGTTTGCAAACTGCTCTATCAAAAGGAATGTTCAACTCTGGGAGTTGAATGCAATCATCACAGAGCAGTTTCTGAGAATGCTTCTATGTCGTTTTTAGGAGAAGATATTTCCTTTTCCAACACAGTCCTCCAAGCCCGCTAAATAGCCACTTGCACATTGTAGAAAAAGTGTGTCAAAGCTGCGCTATCAAAGGGAAAGTTCAACTCTGTGAGGTGAATGCAAACATCCCAAAGAAGTTTCTGAGAATGCTTCCGTTTAGCTTTTAGGTGAAGATTATCCCGTTTCCAACGAAACCTTCAAAGAGGTCCAAATATCCCCTTGCGGATCCCACAGAAAGAGTGTTTCGAAACTGCTGTTTCAAAAGGAATCTTCAACTCTGTGAGTTGAATGCAATCATCCCAAAGAAGTTTCTGACAATGCTTCTCTCTCGTCTTTCTGTGAAGATAAAGGAAAAGGCTTTCAGGCCTTTTCCACCACAGGCCTGAAAGCGCTCCAAATGTCCACTTGCAGATTCTGCCAAAAGAATATTTCAAAACTGCTCTATGAAAAGCAATGTTAAACTCTGTGGCTCGAACACAAACATCACAAAGCGGTTTCTGAGAATGCTTCAGTTTAGTTTTTCTGTGGAAATATTCCCGTTTCCAAAGAAATCTTCAAAGAGGTCCACGTATCCACTTACAGATTCTACAAAAAGACAGTTTCAAAACTGCTCCATCAAAAGGAGGGTTCAACTGTGTGACTTGAATGCAATCATCACTCAGAAGTTTCTGAGAATGCTTCTCTTTAGTTTTTACGTGAACATATACCCGTTTCGAACGAACCCAGCCAGTGGTCCAAATATCCACTTGCAGATTCTACAGAAAGAGTGTTTCGAACCTGAACTCTCAAAGGCAGGTTCATCTCTGCGAGTTAAATGCATTCATCATGAAGAACTTTCTCAGAGTGTTTGTGTTTAGTTATGGGAAATTATTCCCGTTTCCAACGAAATCCTCAGAGAGCTCCAAATATCCACCTGCAGATTCTACCAAAAGTGTATTTGGAAACTGCTCCATCAAAAGGCATGTTCAGCTCTGTGAGTGAAACTCCATCATCACAAAGAATATTCTGAGAATGCTTCCGTTTGCCTTTTATATGAAGTTCCTTCCTATACGACCGTAGGCCTCAAAGCAGTCCAAATCTCCATTTGCAGATTCTACAAAAAGAGTGATTCCAATCTGCTCTATCAATAGGATTGTTCAACTCCATGAGTTGAATGCCATCCTCACAAAGTAGTTTCTGAGAATGCTTCTATCTAGTTTTTATGTGAAGATATTTCCTTTTCCACCACAGGCCTCTAAGCCCTCCAAACGTCCACTTGCAGATTCTCGAAAAAGAGTGTTTCATAGCTGCTCTTTCAAAAGGAAAGTTCAACTCTGGGAGTTGAATACAAACATCACAAAGTAGTTTCCGAGAATGCTTCTGTTTAGTTTTTATGTGAAGATGATCCCGTTTCCAGTGAAATCTTCAAAGAGGTCCACATATCCCCTTGCAGATTCCAAAGAAAGAGGGTTTCAAAACTGCTCCATCAGAAGGATTGTTCAACTCTGTGAGTTGAATGCAGTCATCGCAGAAAACTTTCTGAGAATGCTTCTGTCTAGGTTTGATGTGAAGATATAGACGTTTCAAACGAAGGCTACAAAGTGGTCAAAATATACACTTGCAGATTCTACTACAAGGGTGTTGCAAACCTGAACTATCAAAGGAAGGTTCAACTCTGTGAGTTGAATACAAACATCACAAAGAATGTTCTGAGTTTGCTTCCGTTCAGTTATGGGAAGTTGATCCCGTTTCCAACGAAATCCTCAGAGAGGTCCAAATATCCCCTTGCAGATTCTACAAAACGTGTGTTTGGAAACTGCTCCATCATAACGAATGTTCAGCTCCCTGAGTTAAACTCCATCGTCACAAAGAATTTTCTGAGAGTGCTACCGTCTGGTTTTTATATGAAGTTCTTTCCTTCACTACCACAGGCCTCAAAGCGGTCCAAATCTCCACTTGCAGATTCTACAAAAAGAGTGTTTGCAAACTGCTCTATCAAAAGGAATGTTCAACTCTGGGAGTTGAATGCAATCATCACAGAGCAGTTTCTGAGAATGCTTCTATGTCGTTTTTAGGAGAAGATATTTCCTTTTCCAACACAGTCCTCCAAGCCCGCTAAATAGCCACTTGCACATTGTAGAAAAAGTGTGTCAAAGCTGCGCTATCAAAGGGAAAGTTCAACTCTGTGAGGTGAATGCAAACATCCCAAAGAAGTTTCTGAGAATGCTTCCGTTTAGCTTTTAGGTGAAGATTATCCCGTTTCCAACGAAACCTTCAAAGAGGTCCAAATATCCCCTTGCGGATCCCACAGAAAGAGTGTTTCGAAACTGCTGTTTCAAAAGGAATCTTCAACTCTGTGAGTTGAATGCAATCATCACAAAGAAGTTTCTGACAATGCTTCTCTCTCGTCTTTCTGTGAAGATAAAGGAAAAGGCTTTCAGGCCTTTGCCACCACAGGCCTGAAAGCGCTCCAAATGTCCACTTGCAGATTCTGCCAAAAGAATATTTCAAAACTGCTCTATGAAAAGCAATGTTAAACTCTGTGGCTGGAACACAAACATCACAAAGCGGTTTGTGAGAATGTTTCAGTTTAGTTTTTCTGTGGAAATATTCCCGTTTCCAAAGAAATCTTCAAAGAGGTCCACGTATCCACTTACAGATTCTACAAAAAGACAGTTTCAAAACTGCTCAATCAAAAGGAGGGTTCAACTGTGTGACTTGAATGCAATCATCACTCAGAAGTTTGCTGAGAATGCTTCTCTTTAGTTTTTACGTGAACATATACCCGTTTCGAACGAAGCCACCCAGTGGTCCAAATATCCACTTGCAGATTCTACAGAAAGAGTGTTTCGAACCTGAACTCTCAAAGGCAGGTTCATCTCTGCGAGTTAAATGCATTCATCATGAAGAACTTTCTCAGAGTGTTTGTGTTTAGTTATGGGAAATTATTCCCGTTTCCAACGAAATCCTCAGAGAGGTCCAAATATCCACCTGCAGATTCTACCAAAAGTGTATTTGGAAACTGCTCCATCAAAAGGCATGTTCAGCTCTGTGAGTGAAACTCCATCATCACAAAGAATATTCTGAAAATGCTTCCGTTTGCCTTTTTATGAAGTTCCTTCCTATACTACCGTAGGCCTCAAAGCAGTCCAAATCTCCATTTGCAGATTCTACAAAAAGAGTGATTCCAATCTGCTCTATCAATAGGATTGTTCAACTCCATGAGTTGAATGCCATCGTCACAAAGTAGTTTCTGAGAATGCTTCTATCTAGTTTTTATGTGAAGATATTTCCTTTTCCACCACAGGCCTCAAAGCCTTCCAAACGTCCACTTGCAGATTCTCGAAAAAGAGTGTTTCATAGCTGCTCTTTCAAAAGGAAAGTTCAACTCTGGGAGTTGAATACAAACATCACAAAGTAGTTTCCGAGAATGCTTCTGTTTAGTTTTTATGTGAAGATGATCCCGTTTCCAGTGAAATCTTCAAAGAGGTCCACATATCCCCTTGCATATTGCAAAGAAAGAGGGTTTCAAAACTGCTCCATCAGAAGGATTGTTCAACTCTGTGAGTTGAATGCAGTCATCGCAGAAAACTTTCTGAGAATGCTTCTGTCTAGGTTTGATGTGAAGATATAGACGTTTCAAACGAAGGCTACAAAGTGGTCAAAATATACACTTGCAGATTCTACTACAAGGGTGTTGCAAACCTGAACTATCAAAGGAAGGTTCAACTCTGTGAGTTGAATACAAACATCACAAAGAATGTTCTGAGTTTGCTTCCGTTCAGTTATGGGAAGTTGATCCCGTTTCCAACGAAATCCTCAGAGAGGTCCAAATATCCCCTTGCAGATTCTACAAAACGTGTGTTTGGAAACTGCTCCATCATAACGAATGTTCAGCTCCCTGAGTTAAACTCCATCGTCACAAAGAATTTTCTGAAAGTGCTACCGTCTGGTTTTTATATGAAGTTCTTTCCTTCACTACCACAGGCCTCAAAGCGGTCCAAATCTCCACTTGCAGATTCTACAAAAAGAGTGTTTGCAAACTGCTCTATCAAAAGGAATGTTCAACTCTGGGAGTTGAATGCAATCATCACAGAGCAGTTTCTGAGAATGCTTCTATGTCGTTTTTAGGAGAAGATATTTCCTTTTCCAACACAGTCCTCCAAGCCCGCTAAATATCCACTTGCACATTGTAGAAAAAGTGTGTCAAAGCTGCGCTATCAAAGGGAAAGTTCAACTCTGTGAGGTGAATGCAAACATCCCAAAGAAGTTTCTGAGAATGCTTCCGTTTAGCTTTTAGGTGAAGATTATCCCGTTTCCAACGAAACCTTCAAAGAGGTCCAAATATCCCCTTGCGGATCCCACAGAAAGAGTGTTTCGAAACTGCTGTTTCAAAAGGAATCTTCAACTCTGTGAGTTGAATGCAATCATCACAAAGAAGTTTCTGACAATGCTTCTCTCTCGTCTTTCTGTGAAGATAAAGGAAAAGGCTTTCAGGCCTTTTCCACCCACAGGCCTGAAAGCGCTCCAAATGTCCACTTGCAGATTCTGCGAAAAGAATATTTCAAAACTGCTCTATGAAAAGCAATGTTAAACTCTGTGGCTCGAACACAAACATCACAAAGCGGTTTCTGAGAATGCTTCAGTTTAGTTTTTCTGTGGAAATATTCCCGTTTCCAAAGAAATCTTCAAAGAGGTCCACGTATCCACTTACAGATTCTACAAAAAGACAGTTTCAAAACTGCTCCATCAAAAGGAGGGTTCAACTGTGTGACTTGAATGCAATCATCACTCAGAAGTTTCTGAGAATGCTTCTCTTTAGTTTTTACGTGAACATATACCCGTTTCGAACGAAGGCCACCCAGTGGTCCAAATATCCACTTGCAGATTATACAGAAAGAGTGTTTCGAACCTGAACTCTCAAAGGCAGGTTCATCTCTGCGAGTTAAATGCATTCATCATGAAGAACTTTCTCAGAGTGTTTGTGTTTAGTTATGGGAAATTATTCCCGTTTCCAACGAAATCCTCAGAGAGCTCCAAATATCCACCTGCAGATTCTACCAAAAGCGTATTTGGAAACTGCTCCATCAAAAGGCATGTTCAGCTCTGTGAGTGAAACTCCATCATCACAAAGAATATTCTGAGAATGCTTCCGTTTGCCTTTTATATGAAGTTCCTTCCTGTACTACCGTAGGCCTCAAAGCAGTCCAAATCTCCATTTGCAGATTCTACAAAAAGAGTGATTCCAATCTGCTCTATCAATAGGATTGTTCAACTCCATGAGTTGAATGCCATCCTCACAAAGTAGTTTCTGAGAATGCTTCTATCTGGTTTTTGTGTGAAGATATTTCCTTTTCCACCACAGGCCTCAAAGCCCTCCAAACGTCCACTTGCAGATTCTCGAAAAAGAGTGTTTCATAGCTGCTCTTTCAAAAGGAAAGTTCAACTCTGGGAGTTGAATACAAACATCACAAAGTAGTTTCCGAGAATGCTTCAGTTTAGTTTTTATGTGAAGATGATCCCGTTTCCAGTGAAATCTTCAAAGAGGTCCACATATCCCCTTGAAGATTCCAAAGAAAGAGGGTTTCAAAACTGCTCCATCAGAAGGATTGTTCAACTCTGTGAGTTGAATGCAGTCATCGCAGAAAACTTTCTGAGAATGCTTCTGTCTAGGTTTGATGTGAAGATATAGATGTTTCAAACGAAGGCTACAAAGTGGTCAAAATATACACTTGCAGATTCTACTACAAGGGTGTTGCAAACCTGAACTATCAAAGGAAGGTTCAACTCTGTGAGTTGAATACAAACATCACAAAGAATGTTCTGAGTTTGCTTCCGTTCAGTTATGGGAAGTTGATCCCGTTTCCAACGAAATCCTCAGAGAGGTCCAAATATCCCCTTGCAGATTCTACAAAAAGTGTGTTTGGAAACTGCTCCATCATAACGAATGTTCAGCTCCCTGAGTTAAACTCCATCGTCACAAAGAATTTTCTGAGAGTGCTACCGTCTGGTTTTTATATGAAGTTCTTTCCTTCACTACCACAGGCCTCAAAGCGGTCCAAATCTCCACTTGCAGATTCTACAAAAAGAGTGTTTGCAAACTGCTCTATCAAAAGGAATGTTCAACTCTGGGAGTTGAATGCAATCATCACAGAGCAGTTTCTGAGAATGCTTCTATGTCGTTTTTAGGAGAAGATATTTCCTTTTCCAACACAATCCTCCAAGCCCGCTAAATAGCCACTTGCACATTGTAGAAAAAGTGTGTCAAAGCTGCGCTATCAAAGGGAAAGTTCAACTCTGTGAGGTGAATGCAAACATCCCAAAGAAGTTTCTGAGAATGCTTCCGTTTAGCTTTTAGGTGAAGATTATCCCGTTTCCAACGAAACCTTCAAAGAGGTCCAAATATCCCCTTGCGGATCCCACAGAAAGAGTGTTTCGAAACTGCTGTTTCAAAAGGAATCTTCAACTCTGTGAGTTGAATGCAATCATCACAAAGAAGTTTCTGACAATGCTTCTCTCTCGTCTTTCTGTGAAGATAAAGGAAAAGGCTTTCAGGCCTTTTCCACCACAGGCCTGAAAGCGCTCCAAATGTCCACTTGCAGATTCTGCGAAAAGAATATTTCAAAACTGCTCTATGAAAAGCAATGTTAAACTCTGTGGCTCGAACACAAACATCACAAAGCAGTTTCTGAGAATGCTTCAGTTTAGTTTTTCTGTGGAAATATTCCCGTTTCCAAAGAAATCTTCAAAGAGGTCCACGTATCCACTTACAGATTCTACAAAAAGACAGTTTCAAAACTGCTCCATCAAAAGGAGGGTTCAACTGTGTGACTTGAATGCAATCATCACTCAGAAGTTTCTGAGAATGCTTCTCTTTAGTTTTTACGTGAACATATACCCGTTTCGAACGAAGGCCACCCAGTGGTCCAAATATCCACTTGCAGATTCTACAGAAAGAGTGTTTCGAACCTGAACTCTCAAAGGCAGGTTCATCTCTGCGAGTTAAATGCATTCATCATGAAGAACTTTCTCAGAGTATTTGTGTTTAGTTATGGGAAATTATTCCCGTTTCCAACGAAATCCTCAGAGAGCTCCAAATATCCACCTGCAGATTCTACCAAAAGTGTATTTGGAAACTGCTCCATCAAAAGGCATGTTCAGCTCTGTGAGTGAAACTCCATCATCACAAAGAATATTCTGAGAATGCTTCCGTTTGCCTTTTATATGAAGTTCCTTCCTGTACTACCGTAGGCCTCAAAGCAGTCCAAATCTCCATTTGCAGATTCTACAAAAAGAGTGATTCCAATCTGCTCTATCAATAGGATTGTTCAACTCCATGAGTTGAATGCCATCCTCACAAAGTAGTTTCTGAGAATGCTTCTATCTGGTTTTTGTGTGAAGATATTTCCTTTTCCACCACAGGCCTCAAAGCCCTCCAAACGTCCACTTGCAGATTCTCGAAAAAGAGTGTTTCATAGCTGCTCTTTCAAAAGGAAAGTTCAACTCTGGGAGTTGAATACAAACATCACAAAATAGTTTCCGAGAATGCTTCTGTTTAGTTTTTATGTGAAGATGATCCCGTTTCCAGTGAAATCTTCAAAGAGGTCCACATATCCCCTTGCAGATTCCAAAGAAAGAGGGTTTCAAAACTGCTCCATCAAAAGGATTGTTCAACTCTGTGAGTTGAATGCAGTCATCGCAGAAAACTTTCTGAGAATGCTTCTTTCTAGGTTTGATGTGAAGATATAGACGTTTCAAACGAAGGCTACAAAGTGGTCAAAATATACACTTGCAGATTCTACTACAAGGGTGTTGCAAACCTGAACTATCAAAGGAAGGTTCAACTCTGTGAGTTGAATACAAACATCACAAAGAATGTTCTGAGTTTGCTTCCGTTCAGTTATGGGAAGTTGATCCCGTTTCCAACGAAATCCTCAGAGAGGTCCAAATATCCCCTTGCAGATTCTACAAAACGTGTGTTTGGAAACTGCTCCATCATAACGAATGTTCAGCTCCCTGAGTTAAACTCCATCGTCACAAAGAATTTTCTGAGAGTGCTACCGTCTGGTTTTTATATGAAGTTCTTTCCTTCACTACCACAGGCCTCAAAGCGGTCCAAATCTCCACTTGCAGATTCTACAAAAAGAGTGTTTGCAAACTGCTCTATCAAAAGGAATGTTCAACTCTGGGAGTTGAATGCAATCATCACAGAGCAGTTTCTGAGAATGCTTCTATGTCGTTTTTAGGAGAAGATATTTCCTTTTCCAACACAGTCCTCCAAGCCCGCTAAATAGCCACTTGCACATTGTAGAAAAAGTGTGTCAAAGCTGCGCTATCAAAGGGAAAGTTCAACTCTGTGAGGTGAATGCAAACATCCCAAAGAAGTTTCTGAGAATGCTTCCGTTTAGCTTTTAGGTGAAGATTATCCCGTTTCCAACGAAACCTTCAAAGAGGTCCAAATATCCCCTTGCGGATCCCACAGAAAGAGTGTTTCGAAACTGCTGTTTCAAAAGGAATCTTCAACTCTGTGAGTTGAATGCAATCATCACAAAGAAGTTTCTGACAATGCTTCTCTCTCGTCTTTCTGTGAAGATAAAGGAAAAGGCTTTCAGGCCTTTTCCACCACAGGCCTGAAAGCGCTCCAAATGTCCACTTGCAGATTCTGCGAAAAGAATATTTCAAAACTGCTCTATGAAAAGCAATGGTAAACTCTGTGGCTCGAACACAAACATCACAAAGCGGTTTCTGAGAATGCTTCAGTTTAGTTTTTCTGTGGAAATATTCCCGTTTCCAAAGAAATCTTCAAAGAGGTCCACGTATCCACTTACAGATTCTACAAAAAGACAGTTTCAAAACTGCTCCATCAAAAGGAGGGTTCAACTGTGTGACTTGAATGCAATCATCACTCAGAAGTTTCTGAGAATGCTTCTCTTTAGTTTTTACGTGAACATATACCCGTTTCGAACGAAGGCCACCCAGTGGTCCAAATATCCACTTGCAGATTCTACAGAAAGAGTGTTTCGAACATGAACTCTCAAAGGCAGGTTCATCTCTGCGAGTTAAATGCATTCATCATGAATAACTTTCTCAGAGTGTTTGTGTTTAGTTATGGGAAATTATTCCCGTTTCCAACGAAATCCTCAGAGAGCTCCAAATATCCACCTGCAGATTCTACCAAAAGTGGATTTGGAAACTGCTCCATCAAAAGGCATGTTCCGCTCTGTGAGTGAAACTCCATCATTACAAAGAATATTCTGAGAATGCTTCCGTTTGCCTTTTATATGAAGTTCCTTCCTATACGACCGTAGGCCTCAAAGCAGTCCAAATCTCCATTTGCAGATTCTACAAAAAGAGTGATTCCAATCTGCTCTATCAATAGGATTGTTCAACTCCATGAGTTGAATGCCATCCTCACAAAGTCGTTTCTGAGAATGCTTCTATCTGGTTTTTGTGTGAAGATATTTCCTTTTCCACCACAGGCCTCAAAGCCCTCCAAACGTCCACTTGCAGATTCTCGAAAAAGAGTGTTTCATAGCTGCTCTTTCAAAAGGAAAGTTCAACTCTGGGAGTTGAATACAAACATCACAAAATAGTTTCCAAGAATGCTTCTGTTTAGTTTTTATGTGAAGATGATCCCGTTTCCAGTGAAATCTTCAAAGAGGTCCACATATCCCCTTGCAGATTCCAAAGAAAGAGGGTTTCAAAACTGCTCCATCAAAAGGATTGTTCAACTCTGTGAGTTGAATGCAGTCATCGCAGAAAACTTTCTGAGAATGCTTCTGTCTAGGTTTGATGTGAAGATATAGACGTTTCAAACGAAGGCTACACAGTGGTCAAAATATACACTTGCAGATTCTACTACAAGGGTGTTGCAAACCTGAACTATCAAAGGAAGGTTCAACTCTGTGAGTTGAATACAAACATCACAAAGAATGTTCTGAGTTTGCTTCCGTTCAGTTATGGGAAGTTGATCCCGTTTCCAGCGAAATCCTCAGAGAGGTCCATATATCCCCTTGCAGATTCTACAAAACGTGTGTTTGGAAACTGCTCCATCATAACGAATGTTCAGCTCCCTGAGTTAAACTCCATCGTCACAAAGAATTTTCTGAGAGTGCTACCGTCTGGTTTTTATATGAAGTTCTTTCCTTCACTACCACAGGCCTCAAAGCGGTCCAAATCTCCACTTGCAGATTCTACAAAAAGAGTGTTTGCAAACTGCTCTATCAAAAGGAATGTTCAACTCTGGGAGTTGAATGCAATCATCACAGAGCAGTTTCTGAGAATGCTTCTATGTCGTTTTTAGGAGAAGATATTTCCTTTTCCAACACAGTCCTCCAAGCCCGCTAAATATCCACTTGCACATTGTAGAAAAAGTGTGTCAAAGCTGCGCTATCAAAGGGAAAGTTCAACTCTGTGAGGAGAGTGAAAACATCCCAAAGAAGTTTCTGAGAATGCTTCCGTTTACCTTTTAGGTGAAGATTATCCCGTTTCCAACGAAACCTTCAAAGAGGTCCAAATATCCCCTTGCGGATCCCACAGAAAGAGTGTTTCGAAACTGCTGTTTCAAAAGGAATCTTCAACTCTGTGAGTTGAATGCAATCATCACAAAGAAGTTTCTGACAATGCTTCTCTCTCGTCTTTCTGTGAAGATAAAGGAAAAGGCTTTCAGGCCTTTTCCACCACAGGCCTGAAAGCGCTCCAAATGTCCACTTGCAGATTCTGCCAAAAGAATATTTCAAAACTGCTCTATGAAAAGCAATGTTAAACTCTGCGGCTCGAACACAAACATCACAAAGCAGTTTCTGAGAATGCTTCAGTTTAGTTTTTCTGTGGAAATATTCCCGTTTCGAAAGAAATCTTCAAAGAGGTCCACGTATCCACTTACAGATTCTACAAAAAGACAGTTTCAAAACTGCTCAATCAAAAGGAGGGTTCAACCGTGTGACTTGAATGCAATCATCACTCAGAAGTTTCTGAGAATGCTTCTCTTTAGTTTTTACGTGAACATATACCCGTTTCGAACGAAGGCCACCCAGTGGTCCAAATATCCACTTGCAGATTCTACAGAAAGAGTGTTTCGAACCTGAACTCTCAAAGGCAGGTTCATCTCTGCGAGTTCAATGCATTCATCATGAAGAACTTTCTCAGAGTGTTTGTGTTTAGTTATGGGAAATTATTCCAGTTTCCAAAGAAATCCTCAGAGAGGTCCAAATATCCACCTGCAGATTCTACCAAAAGTGTATTTGGAAACTGCTCCATCAAAAGGCATGTTCAGTTCTGTGAGTGAAACTCCATCATCACAAAGAATATTCTGAGAATGCTTCCGTTTGCCTTTTATATGAAGTTCCTTCCTGTACTACCGTAGGCCTCAAAGCAGTCCAAATCTCCATTTGCAGATCCTACAAAAAGAGTGATTCCAATCTGCTCTATCAATAGGATAGTTCAACTCCATGAGTTGAATGCCATCCTCACAAAGTAGTCTCTGAGAATGCTTCTATCTAGTTTTTATGTGAAGATATTTCCTTTTCCACCACAGGCCTCAAAGCCCTCCAAACGTCCACTTGCAGATTCTCGAAAAAGAGTGTTTCATAGCTGCTCTTTCAAAAGGAAAGTTCAACTCTGGGAGTTGAATACAAACATCACAAAGTAGTTTCCGAGAATGCTTCTGTTTAGTTCTTATGTGAAGATGATCCCGTTTCCAGTGAAATCTTCAAAGAGGTCCACATATCCCCTTGCAGATTCCAAAGAAAGAGGGTTTCAAAACTGCTCCATCAAAAGGATTGTTCAACTCTGTGAGTTGAATGCAGTCATCGCAGAAAACTTTCTGAGAATGCTTCTGTCTAGGTTTGATGTGAAGATATAGACGTTTCAAACGAAGGCTACAAAGTGGTCAAAATATACACTTGCAGATTCTACTACAAGGGTGATGCAAACCTCAACTATCAAAGGAAGGTTCAACTCTGTGAGATGAATGCAACCATCACAAAAAATGTTCTGAGTTTGCTTCCGTTTAGTTATGGGAAATTGATACCGTTTCCAACGAAATCCTCAGAGAGGTCCAAATATCCCCTTGCAGATTCTACAAAACGTGTGTTTGGAAACTGCTCCATCATAACGAATGTTCAGCTCTCTGAGTTAAACTCCATCGTCACAAAGAATTTTCTGAGAGTGCTACCGTCTGGTTTTTATATGAAGTTCTTTCCTTTATTACCACAGGCCTCAAAGCGGTCCAAATCTCCACTTGCAGATTCTACAAAAAGAGTGTTTGCAAACTGCTCTATCAAAAGGAATGTTCAACTCTGGGAGTTGAATGCAATCATCACAGAGCAGTTTCTGAGAATGCTTCTATGTCGTTTTTAGGAGAAGATATTTCCTTTTCCAACACAGTCCTCCAAGCCCGCTAAATATCCACTTGCACATTGTAGAAAAAGTGTGTCGAAGCTGCGCTATCAAAGGGAAAGTTCAACTCTGTGAGGTGAATGCAAACATCCCAAAGAAGTTTCTGAGAATGCTTCCGTTTAGCTTTTAGGTGAAGATTATCCCGTTTCCAACGAAATCTTCAAAGAGGTCCAAATATCCCCTTGCGGATCCCACAGAAAGAGTGTTTCGAAACTGCTGTTTCAAAAGGAATCTTCAACTCTGTGGGTTGAATGCAATCATCACAAAGAAGTTTCTGACAATGCTTCTCTCTCGTCTTTCTGTGAAGATAAAGGAAAAGGCTTTCAGGCCTTTTCCACCACAGGCCTGAAAGCGCTCCAAATGTCCACTTGCAGATTCTGCCAAAAGAATATTTCAAAACTGCTCTATGAAAAGCAATGTTAAACTCTGCGGCTCGAACACAAACATCACAAAGCAGTTTCTGAGAATGCTTCAGTTTAGTTTTTCTGTGGAAATATTCCCGTTTCGAAAGAAATCTTCAAAGAGGTCCACGCATCCACTTACAGATTCTACAAAAAGACAGTTTCAAAACTGCTCAATCAAAAGGAGGGTTCAACCGTGTGACTTGAATGCAATCATCACTCAGAAGTTTCTGAGAACGCTTCTCTTTAGTTTTTACGTGAACATATACCCGTTTCGAACGAAGGCCACCCAGTGGTCCAAATATCCACTTGCAGATTCTACAGAAAGAGTGTTTCGAACCTGAACTCTCAAAGGCAGGTTCATCTCTGCGAGTTCAATGCATTCATCATGAAGAACTTTCTCAGAGTGTTTGTGTTTAGGTATGGGAAATTATTCCCGTTTCCAACGAAATCCTCAGAGAGGTCCAAATATCCACCTGCAGATTCTACCAAAAGTGTATTTGGAAACTGCTCCATCAAAAGGCATGTTCAGCTCTGTGAGTCAAACTCCATCATCACAAAGAATATTCTGAGAATGCTTCCGTTTGCCTTTTATATGAAGTTCCTTCCTATACTACCGTAGGCCTCAAAGCAGTCCAAATCTCCATTTGCAGATTCTACCAAAAGAGTGATTCCAATCTGCTCTATCAATAGGATTGTTCAACTCCATGAGTTGAATGCCATCCTCACAAAGTCGTTTCTGAGAATGCTTCTATCTAGTTTTTATGTGAAGATATTTCCTTTTCCACCACAGGCCTCAAAGCCCTCCAAACGTCCACTTGCAGATCCTCGAAAAAGAGTGTTTCATAGCTGCTCTTTCAAAAGGAAAGTTCAACTCTGGGAGTTGAATACAAACATCACAAAGTAGTTTCCGAGAATGCTTCTGTTTAGTTTTTATGTGAAGATGATCCCGTTTCCAGTGAAATCTTCAAAGAGGTCCACATATCCCCTTGCAGATTCCAAAGAAAGAGGGTTTCAAAACTGCTCCATCAGAAGGATTGTTCAACTCTGTGAGTTGAATGCAGTCATCGCAGAAAACTTTCTGAGAATGCTTCTTTCTAGGTTTGATGTGAAGATATAGACGTTTCAAACGAAGGCTACAAAGTGGTCAAAATATACACTTGCAGATTCTACTACAAGGGTGTTGCAAACCTGAACTATCAAAGGAAGGTTCAACTCTGTGAGTTGAATACAAACATCACAAAGAATGTTCTGAGTTTGCTTCCGTTCAGTTATGGGAAGTTGATCCCGTTTCCAACGAAATCCTCAGAGAGGTCCAAATATCCCCTTGCAGATTCTACAAAACGTGTGTTTGGAAACTGCTCCATCATAACGAATGTTCAGCTCCCTGAGTTAAACTCCATCGTCACAAAGAATTTTCTGAGAGTGCTACCGTCTGGTTTTTATATGAATTTCTTTCCTTCACTACCACAGGCCTCAAAGCGGTCCAAATCTCCACTTGCAGATTCTACAAAAAGAGTGTTTGCAAACTGCTCTATCAAAAGGAATGTTCAACTCTGGGAGTTGAATGCAATCGTCACAGAGCAGTTTCTGAGAATGCTTCTATGTCGTTTTTAGGAGAAGATATTTCCTTTTCCAACACAGTCCTCCAAGCCCGCTAAATAGCCACTTGCACATTGTAGAAAAAGTGTGTCAAAGCTGCGCTATCAAAGGGAAAGTTCAACTCTGTGAGGTGAATGCAAACATCCCAAAGAAGTTTCTGAGAATGCTTCCGTTTAGCTTTTAGGTGAAGATTATCCCGTTTCCAACGAAACCTTCAAAGAGGTCCAAATATCCCCTTGCGGATCCCACAGAAAGAGTGTTTCGAAACTGCTGTTTCAAAAGGAATCTTCAACTCTGTGAGTTGAATGCAATCATCACAAAGAAGTTTCTGACAATACTTCTCTCTCGTCTTTCTGTGAAGATAAAGGAAAAGGCTTTCAGGCCTTTTCCACCACAGGCCTGAAAGCGCTCCAAATGTCCACTTGCAGATTCTGCGAAAAGAATATTTCAAAACTGCTCTATGAAAAGCAATGTTAAACTCTGTGGCTGGAACACAAACATCACAAAGCGGTTTCTGAGAATGTTTCAGTTTAGTTTTTCTGTGGAAATATTCCCGTTTCCAAAGAAATCTTCAAAGAGGTCCACGTATCCACTTACAGATTCTACAAAAAGACAGTTTCAAAACTGCTCCATCAAAAGGAGGGTTCAACTGTGTGACTTGAATGCAATCATCACTCAGAAGTTTCTGAGAATGCTCTCTTTAGTTTTTAGGTGAACATATACCCGTTTCGAACGAAGGCCACCCAGTGGTCCAAATATCCACTTGCAGATTCTACAGAAAGAGTGTTTCGAACCTGAACTCTCAAAGGCAGGTTCATCTCTGCGAGTTCAATGCATTCATCATGAAGAACTTTCTCAGCGTGTTTGTGTTTAGTTATGGAAAATTATTCCCGTTTCCAACGAAATCCTCAGAGAGCTCCAAATATCCACCTGCAGATTCTACCAAAAGTGTATTTGGAAACTGCTCCATGAAAAGGCATGTTCAGCTCTGTGAGTGAAACTCCATCATCACAAAGAATATTCTGAGAATGCTTCCGTTTGCCTTTTATATGAAGTTCCTTCCTATACTACCGTAGGCCTCAAAGCAGTCCAAATCTCCATTTGCAGATTCTACAAAAAGAGTGATTCCAATCTGCTCTATCAATAGGATTGTTCAACTCCATGAGTTGAATGCCATCCTCACAAAGTCGTTTCTGAGAATGCTTCTATCTAGTTTTTATGTGAAGATATTTCCTTTTCCACCACAGGCCTCAAAGCCCTCCAAACGTCCACTTGCAGATTCTCGAAAAAGAGTGTTTCATAGCTGCTCTTTCAAAAGGAATGTTCAACTCTGGGAGTTGAATACAAACATCACAAAGTCGTTTCGGAGAATGCTTCTGTTTAGTTCTTATGTGAAGATGATCCCGTTTCCAGTGAAATCTTCAAAGAGGTCCACATATCCCCTTGCAGATTCCAAAGAAAGAGGGTTTCAAAACTGCTCCATCAAAAGGATTGTTCAACTCTGTGAGTTGAATGCAGTCATCGCAGAAAACTTTCTGAGAATGCTTCTGTCTAGGTTTGATGTGAAGATATAGACGTTTCAAACGAAGGCTACAAAGTGGTCAAAATATACACTTGCAGATTCTACTACAAGGGTGATGCAAACCTGAACTATCAAAGGAAGGTTCAACTCTGTGAGTTGAATACAAACATAACAAAGAATGTTCTGAGTTTGCTTCCGTTCAGTTATGGGAAGTTGATCCCGTTTCCAACGAAATCCTCAGAGAGGTCCAAATATCCCCTTGCAGATTCTACAAAACGTGTGTTTGGAAACTGCTCCATCATAACGAATGTTCAGCTCTCTGAGTTAAACTCCATCGTCACAAAGAATTTTCTGAGAGTGCTACCGTCTGGTTTTTATATGAAGTTCTTTCCTTTACTACCACAGGCCTCAAAGCGGTCCAAATCTCCACTTGCAGATTCTACAAAAAGAGTGTTTGCAAACTGCTCTATCAAAAGGAATGTTCAACTCTGGGAGTTGAATGCAATCATCACAGAGCAGTTTCTGAGAATGCTTCTATGTCGTTTTTAGGAGAAGATATTTCCTTTTCCAACACAGTCCTCCAAGCCCGCTAAATAGCCACTTGCACATTGTAGAAAAAGTGTGTCGAAGCTGCGCTATCAAAGGGAAAGTTCAACTCTGTGAGGTGAATGCAAACATCCCAAAGAAGTTTCTGAGAATGCTTCCGTTTAGCTTTTAGGTGAAGATTATCCCGTTTCCAACGAAACCTTCAAAGAGGTCCAAATATCCCCTTGCGGATCCCACAGAAAGAGTGTTTCGAAACTGCTGTTTCAAAAGGAATCTTCAACTCTGTGAGTTGAATGCAATCATCACAAAGAAGTTTCTGACAATGCTTCTCTCTCGTCTTTCTGTGAAGATAAAGGAAAAGGCTTTCAGGCCTTTGCCACCACAGGCCTGAAAGCGCTCCAAATGTCCACTTGCAGATTCTGCGAAAAGAATATTTCAAAACTGCTCTATGAAAAGCAATGTTAAACTCTGTGGCTCGAACACAAACATCACAAAGCAGTTTCTGAGAATGCTTCAGTTTAGTTTTTCTGTGGAAATATTCCCGTTTCCAAAGAAATCTTCAAAGAGGTCCACGCATCCACTTACAGATTCTACAAAAAGACAGTTTCAAAACTGCTCCATCAAAAGGAGGGTTCAACTGTGTGACTTGAATGCAATCATCACTCAGAAGTTTCTGAGAATGCTTCTCTTTAGTTTTTACGTGAACATATACCCGTTTCGAACGAAGGCCACCCAGTGGTCCAAATATCCACTTGCAGATTCTACAGAAAGAGTGTTTCGAACCTGAACTCTCAAAGGCAGGTTCATCTCTGCGAGTTAAATGCATTCATCATGAAGAACTTTCTCAGAGTGTTTGTGTTTAGTTATGGGAAATTATTCCCGTTTCCAACGAAATCCTCAGAGAGCTCCAAATATCCACCTGCAGATTCTACCAAAAGTGTATTTGGAAACTGCTCCATCAAAAGGCATGTTCAGCTCTGTGAGTGAAACTCCATCATCACAAAGAATATTCTGAGAATGCTTCCGTTTGCCTTTTATATGAAGTTCCTTCCTATACTACCGTAGGCCTCAAAGCAGTCCAAATCTCCATTTGCAGATTCTACAAAAAGAGTGATTCCAATCTGCTCTATCAATAGGATTGTTCAACTCCATGAGTTGAATGCCATCCTCACGAAGTAGTTTCTGAGAATGCTTCTATCTAGTTTTTATGTGAAGATATTTCCTTTTCCACCACAGGCCTCAAAGCCTTCCAAACGTCCACTTGCAGATTCTCGAAAAAGAGTGTTTCATAGCTGCTCTTTCAAAAGGAAAGTTCAACTCTGGGAGTTGAATACAAACATCACAAAGTAGTTTCCGAGAATGCTTCTGTTTAGTTTTTATGTGAAGATGATCCCGTTTCCAGTGAAATCTTCAAAGAGGTCCACATATCCCCTTTCAGATTCCAACGAAAGAGGGTTTCAAAACTGCTCCATCAGAAGGATTGTTCAACTCTGTGAGTTGAATGCAGTCATCGCAGAAAACTTTCTGAGAATGCTTCTGTCTAGGTTTGATGTGAAGATATAGACGTTTCAAACGAAGGCTACAAAGTGGTCAAAATATACACTTGCAGATTCTACTACAAGGGTGTTGCAAACCTGAACTATCAAAGGAAGGTTCAACTCTGTGAGTTGAATACAAACATCACAAAGAATGTTCTGAGTTTGCTTCCGTTCAGTTATGGGAAGTTGATCCCGTTTCCAACGAAATCCTCAGAGAGGTCCAAATATCCCCTTGCAGATTCTACAAAACGTGTGTTTGGAAACTGCTCCATCATAACGAATGTTCAGCTCCCTGAGTTAAACTCCATCGTCACAAAGAATTTTCTGAGAGTGCTACCGTCTGGTTTTTATATGAAGTTCTTTCCTTCACTACCACAGGCCTCAAAGCGGTCCAAATCTCCACTTGCAGATTCTACAAAAAGAGTGTTTGCAAACTGCTCTATCAAAAGGAATGTTCAACTCTGGGAGTTGAATGCAATCATCACAGAGCAGTTTCTGAGAATGCTTCTATGTCGTTTTTAGGAGAAGATATTTCCTTTTCCAACACAGTCCTCCAAGCCCGCTAAATAGCCACTTGCACATTGTAGAAAAAGTGTGTCAAAGCTGCGCTATCAAAGGGAAAGTTCAACTCTGTGAGGTGAATGCAAACATCCCAAAGAAGTTTCTGAGAATGCTTCCGTTTAGCTTTTAGGTGAAGATTATCCCGTTTCCAACGAAACCTGCAAAGAGGTCCAAATATCCCCTTGCGGATCCCACAGAAAGAGTGTTTCGAAACTGCTGTTTCAAAAGGAATCTTCAACTCTGTGAGCTGAATGCAATCATCACAAAGAAGTTTCTGACAATGCTTCTCTCTCGTCTTTCTGTGAAGATAAAGGAAAAGGCTTTCAGGCCTTTTCCACCACAGGCCTGAAAGCGCTCCAAATGTCCACTTGCAGATTCTGCGAAAAGAATATTTCAAAACTGCTCTATGAAAAGCAATGTTAAACTCTGTGGCTGGAACACAAACATCACAAAGCGGTTTCTGAGAATGTTTCAGTTTAGTTTTTCTGTGGAAATATTCCCGTTTCCAAAGAAATCTTCAAAGAGGTCCACGTATCCACTTACAGATTCTACAAAAAGACAGTTTCAAAACTGCTCCATCAAAAGGAGGGTTCAACTGTGTGACTTGAATGCAATCATCACTCAGAAGTTTCTGAGAATGCTTCTCTTTAGTTTTTAAGTGAACATATACCCGTTTCGAACGAAGGCCACCCAGTGGTCCAAATATCCACTTGCAGATTCTACAGAAAGAGTGTTTCGAACCTGAACTCTCAAAGGCAGGTTCATCTCTGCGAGTTAAATGCATTCATCATGAAGAACTTTCTCAGAGTGTTTGTGTTTAGTTATGGGAAATTATTCCCGTTTCCAACGAAATCCTCAGAGAGCTCCAAATATCCACCTGCAGATTCTACCAAAAGTGTATTTGGAAACTGCTCCATCAAAAGGCACGTTCAGCTCTGTGAGTGAAACTCCATCATCACAAAGAATATTCTGAGAATGCTTCCGTTTGCCTTTTATCTGAAGTTCCTTCCTATACGACCGTAGGCCTCAAAGCAGTCCAAATCTCCATTTGCAGATTCTACAAAAAGAGTGATTCCAATCTGCTCTATCAATAGGATTGTTCAACTCCTTGAGTTGAATGCCATCCTCACAAAGTAGTTTCTGAGAATGCTTCTATCTAGTTTTTATGTGAAGATATTTCCTTTTCCACCACAGGCCTCAAAGCCCTCCAAACGTCCACTTGCAGATTCTCGAAAAAGAGTGTTTCATAGCTGCTCTTTCAAAAGGAAAGTTCAACTCTGGGAGTTGAATACAAACATCACAAAGTAGTTTCCGAGAATGCTTCTGTTTAGTTTTTATGTGAAGATGATCCCGTTTCCAGTGAAATCTTCAAAGAGGTCCACATATCCCCTTGCAGATTCCAAAGAAAGAGGGTTTCAAAACTGCTCCATCAGAAGGATTGTTCAACTCTGTGAGTTGAATGCAGTCATCACAGAAAACTTTCTGAGAATGCTTCTGTCTAGGTTTGATGTGAAGATATAGACGTTTCAAATGAAGGCTACAAAGTGGTCAAAATATACACTTGCAGATTCTACTACAAGGGTGTTGCAAACCTGAACTATCAAAGGAAGGTTCAACTCTGTGAGTTGAATACAAACATCACAAAGAATGTTCTGAGTTTGCTTCCGTTCAGTTATGGGAAGTTGATCCCGTTTCCAACGAAATCCTCAGAGAGGTCCAAATATCCCCTTGCAGATTCTACAAAACGTGTGTTTGGAAACTGCTCCATCATAATGAATGTTCAGCTCCCTGAGTTAAACTCCATCGTCACAAAGAATTTTCTGAGAGTGCTACCGTCTGGTTTTTATATGAAGTTCTTTCCTTCACTACCCCAGGCCTCAAAGCGGTCCAAATCTCCACTTGCAGATTCTACAAAAAGAGTGTTTGCAAACTGCTCTATCAAAAGGAATGTTCAACTCTGGGAGTTGAATGCAATCATCACAGAGCAGTTTCTGAGAATGCTTCTATGTCGTTTTTAGGAGAAGATATTTCCTTTTCCAACACAGTCCTCCAAGCCCGCTAAATAGCCACTTGCACATTGTAGAAAAAGTGTGTCAAAGCTGCGCTATCAAAGGGAAAGTTCAACTCTGTGAGGTGAATGCAAACATCCCAAAGAAGTTTCTGAGAATGCTTCCGTTTAGCTTTTAGGTGAAGATTATCCCGTTTCCAACGAAACCTTCAAAGAGGTCCAAATATCCCCTTGCGGATCCCACAGAAAGAGTGTTTCGAAACTGCTGTTTCAAAAGGAATCTTCAACTCTGTGAGTTGAATGCAATCATCACAAAGAAGTTTCTGACAATGCTTCTCTCTCGTCTTTCTGTGAAGATAAAGGAAAAGGCTTTCAGGCCTTTTCCACCACAGGCCTGAAAGCGCTCCAAATGTCCACCTGCAGATTCTGCCAAAAGAATATTTCAAAACTGCTCTATGAAAAGCAATGTTAAACTCTGTGGCTCGAACACAAACATCACAAAGCAGTTTCTGAGAATGCTTCAGTTTAGTTTTTCTGTGAAAATATTCCCGTTTCCAAAGAAATCTTCAAAGAGGTCCACGTATCCACTTACAGATTCTACAAAAAGACAGTTTCAAAACTGCTCCATCAAAAGGAGGGTTCAACTGTGTGACTTGAATGCAATCATCACTCAGAAGTTTCTGAGAATGCTTTCTCTTTAGTTTTTACGTGAACATATACCCGTTTCGAACGAAGGCCAGCCAGTGGTCCAAATATCAACTTGCAGATTCTACAGAAAGAGTGTTTCGAACCTGAACTCTCAAATGCAGGTTCATCTCTGCGAGTTAAATGCATTCATCATGAAGAACTTTCTCAGAGTGTTTGTGTTTAGTTATGGGAAATTATTCCCGTTTCCAACGAAATCCTCAGAGAGCTCCAAATATCCACCTGCAGATTCTACCAAAAGTGTATTTGGAAACTGCTCCATCAAAAGGCATGTTCAGCTCTGTGAGTGAAACTCCATCATCACAAAGAATATTCTGAGAATGCTTCCGTTTGCTTTTTTATGAATTTCCTTCCTATACTACCGTAGGCCTCAAAGCAGTCCAAATCTCCATTTGCAGATTCTACAAAAAGAGTGTTTCCAATCTGCTCTATCAATAGGATTGTTCAACTCCGTGAGTTGAATGCCATCGTCACAAATTAATTTCTGAGAATGCTTCTATCTAGTTTTTATGTGAAGATATTTCCTTTTCCACCACAGGCCTCAAAGCCCTCCAAACGTCCACTTGTAGATTCTCCAAAAAGAGTGTTTCATAGCTGCTCTTTCAAAAGGAATGTTCAACTCTGGCAGTTGAATGCAAACATCACAAAGTAGTTTCCGAGAATGCTTCCTGTTTAGTTTTTATGTGAAGATGATCCCGTTTCCAGTGAAATCTTCAAAGAGGTCCACATATCCCCTTGCAGATTCCAAAGAAAGAGGGTTTCAAAACTGCTCCATCAGAAGGATTGTTCAACTCTGTGAGTTGAATGCAGTCATCGCAGAAAACTTTCTGAGAATGCTTCTGTCTAGGTTTGATGTGAAGATATAGACGTTTCAAACGAAGGCTACAAAGTGGTCAAAATATACACTTGCAGATTCTACTACAAGGGTGTTGCAAACCTGAACTATCAAAGGAAGGTTCAACTCTGTGAATTGAATACAAACATCACAAAGAATGTTCTGAGTTTGCTTCCGTTCAGTTATGGGAAGTTGATCCCGTTTCCAACGAAATCCTCAGAGAGGTCCAAATATCCCCTCGCAGATTCTACAAAACGTGTGTTTGGAAACTGCTCCATCATAACGAATGTTCAGCTCCCTGAGTTAAACTCCATCGTCACAAAGAATTTTGCTGAGAGTGCTAACCGTCTGGTTTTTATATGAAGTTCTTTCCTTTACTACCACAGGCCTCAAAGCGGTCCAAATCTCCACTTGCAGATTCTACAAAAAGAGTGTTTGCAAACTGCTCTATCAAAAGGAATGTTCAACTACTGGGAGTTGAATGCAATCATCACAGAGCAGTTTCTGAGAATGCTTCTATGTCGTTTTTAGGAGAAGTATATTTCCTTTTCCAACACAGTCCTCCAAGCCCGCTAAATAGCCACTTGCACATTGTAGAAAAAGTGTGTCAAAGCTGCGCTATCAAAGGGAAAGTTCAACTCTGTGAGGTGAATGCAAACATCCCAAAGAAGTTTCTGAGAATGCTTCCGTTTAGCTTTTAGGTGAAGATTATCCCGTTTCCAACGAAACCTTCAAAGAGGTCCAAATATCCCCTTGCGGATCCCACAGAAAGAGTGTTTCGAAACTGCTGTTTCAAAAGGAATCTTCAACTCTGTGAGTTGAATGCAATCATCACAAAGAAGTTTCTGACAATGCTTCTCTCTCGTCTTTCTGTGAAGATAAAGGAAAAGGCTTTCAGGCCTTTTCCACCACAGGCCTGAAAGCGCTCCAAATGTCCACTTGCAGATTCTGCCAAAAGAATATTTCAAAACTGCTCTATGAAAAGCAATGTTAAACTCTGTGGCTGGAACACAAACATCACAAAGCGGTTTCTGAGAATGTTTCAGTTTAGTTTTTCTGTGGAAATATTCCCGTTTCCAAAGAAATCTTCAAAGAGGTCCACGTATCCACTTACAGATTCTACAAAAAGACAGTTTCAAAACTGCTCCATCAAAAGGAGGGTTCAACTGTGTGACTTGAATGCAATCATCACTCAGAAGTTTCTGAGAATGCTTCTCTTTAGTTTTTACGTGAACATATACCCGTTTCGAACGAAGGCCACCCAGTGGTCCAAATATCCACTTGCAGATTATACAGAAAGAGTGTTTCGAACCTGAACTCTCAAAGGCAGGTTCATCTCTGCGAGTTAAATGCATTCATCATGAAGAATTTTCTCAGAGTGTTTGTGTTTAGTTATGGGAAATTATTCCCGTTTCCAACGAAATCCTCAGAGAGCTCCAAATATCCACCTGCAGATTCTACCAAAAGTGTATTTGGAAACTGCTCCATCAAAAGGCATGTTCAGCTCTGTGAGTGAAACTCCATCATCACAAAGAATATTCTGAGAATGCTTCCGTTTGCCTTTTATATGAACTTCCTTCCTGTACTACCGTAGGCCTCAAAGCAGTCCAAATCTCCATTTGCAGATTCTACAAAAAGAGTGATTCCAATCTGCTCTATCAATAGGATTGTTCAACTCCATGAGTTGAATGCCATCCTCACAAAGTAGTTTCTGAGAATGCTTCTATCTGGTTTTTGTGTGAAGATATTTCCTTTTCCACCACAGGCCTCAAAGCCCTCCAAACGTCCACTTGCAGATTCTAGAAAAAGAGTGTTTCATAGCTGCTCTTTCAAAAGGAAAGTTCAACTCTGGGAGTTGAATACAAACATCACAAAATAGTTTCCGAGAATGCTTCTGTTTAGTTTTTATGTGAAGATGATCCCGTTTCCAGTGAAATCTTCAAAGAGGTCCACATATCCTCTTGCAGATTCCAAAGAAAGAGGGTTTCAAAACTGCTCCATCAAAAGGATTGTTCAACTCTGTGAGTTGAATGCAGTCATCGCAGAAAACTTTCTGAGAATGCTTCTGTCTAGGTTTGATGTGAAGCATATAGACGTTTCAAACGAAGGCTACAAAGTGGTCAAAATATACACTTGCAGATTCTACTACAAGGGTGATGCAAACCTGAACTATCAAAGGAAGGTTCAACTCTGTGAGTTGAATACAAACATCACAAAGAATGTTCTGAGTTTGCTTCCGTTCAGTTATGGGAAGTTGATCCCGTTTCCAACGAAATCCTCAGAGAGGTCCAAATATCCCCTTGCAGATTCTACAAAACGTGTGTTTGGAAACTGCTCCATCATAACGAATGTTCAGCTCCCTGAGTTAAACTCCATCGTCACAAAGAATTTTCTGAGATTGCTACCGTCTGGTTTTTATATGAAGTTCTTTCCTTCACTACCACAGGCCTCAAAGCGGTCCAAATCTCCACTTGCAGATTCTACAAAAAGAGTGTTTGCAAACTGCTCTATCAAAAGGAATGTTCAACTCTGGGAGTTGAATGCAATCATCACAGAGCAGTTTCTGAGAATGCTTCTATGTCGTTTTTAGGAGAAGATATTTCCTTTTCCAACACAGTCCTCCAAGCCCGCTAAATAGCCACTTGCACATTGTAGAAAAAGTGTGTCAAAGCTGCGCTATCAAAGGGAAAGTTCAACTCTGTGAGGTGAATGCAAACATCCCAAAGAAGTTTCTGAGAATGCTTCCGTTTAGCTTTTAGGTGAAGATTATCCCGTTTCCAACGAAACCTTCAAAGAGGTCCAAATATCCCCTTGCGGATCCCACAGAAAGAGTGTTTCGAAACTGCTGTTTCAAAAGGAATCCTCAACTCTGTGAGTTGAATGCAATCATCACAAAGAAGTTTCTGACAATGCTTCTCTCTCGTCTTTCTGTGAAGATAAAGGAAAAGGCTTTCAGGCCTTTGCCACCACAGGCCTGAAAGCGCTCCAAATGTCCACTTGCAGATTCTGCCAAAAGAATATTTCAAAACTGCTCTATGAAAAGCAATGTTAAACTCTGCGGCTCGAACACAAACATCACAAAGCGGTTTCTGAGAATGCTTCAGTTTAGTTTTTCTGTGGAAATATTCCCGTTTCCAAAGAAATCTTCAAAGAGGTCCACGTATCCACTTACAGATTCTACAAAAAGACAGTTTCAAAACTGCTCCATCAAAAGGAGGGTTCAACTGTGTGACTTGAATGCAATCATCACTCAGAAGTTTCTGAGAATGCTTCTCTTTAGTTTTTACGTGAACATATACCCGTTTCGAACGAAGACCACCCAGTGGTCCAAATATCCACTTGCAGATTATACAGAAAGAGTGTTTCGAACCTGAACTCTCAAAGGCAGGTTCATCTCTGCGAGTTAAATGCATTCATCATGAAGAACTTTCTCAGAGTGTTTGTGTTTAGTTATGGGAAATTATTCCCGTTTCCAACGAAATCCTCAGAGAGCTCCAAATATCCACCTGCAGATTCTACCAAAAGTGTATTTGGAAACTGCTCCATCAAAAGGCATGTTCAGCTCTGTGAGTGAAACTCCATCATCACAAAGAATATTCTGAGAATGCTTCCGTTTGCCTTTTATATGAAGTTCCTTCCTGTACTACCGTAGGCCTCAAAGCAGTCCAAATCTCCATTTGCAGATTCTACAAAAAGAGTGATTCCAATCTGCTCTATCAATAGGATTGTTCAACTCCATGAGTTGAATGCCATCCTCACAAAGTAGTTTCTGAGAATGCTTCTATCTGGTTTTTGTGTGAAGATATTTCCTTTTCCACCACAGGCCTCAAAGCCCTCCAAACGTCCACTTGCAGATTCTCGAAAAAGAGTGTTTCATAGCTGCTCTTTCAAAAGGAAAGTTCAACTCTGGGAGTTGAATGCAAACATCACAAAATAGTTTCCGAGAATGCTTCTGTTTAGTTTTTATGTGAAGATGATCCCGTTTCCAGTGAAATCTTCAAAGAGGTCCACATATCCCCTTGCAGATTCCAAAGAAAGAGGGTTTCAAAACTGCTCCATCAGAAGGATTGTTCAACTCTGTGAGTTGAATGCAGTCATCGCAGAAAACTTTCTGAGAATGCTTCTGTCTAGGTTTGATGTGAAGATATAGACGTTTCAAATGAAGGCTACAAAGTGGTCAAAATATACACTTGCAGATTCTACTACAAGGGTGTTGCAAACCTGAACTATCAAAGGAAGGTTCAACTCTGTGAGTTGAATACAAACATCACAAAGAATGTTCTGAGTTTGCTTCCGTTCAGTTATGGGAAGTTGATCCCGTTTCCAACGAAATCCTCAGAGAGGTCCAAATATCCCCTTGCAGATTCTACAAAACGTGTGTTTGGAAACTGCTCCATCATAACGAATGTCCAGCTCCCTGAGTTAAACTCCATCGTCACAAAGAATTTTCTGAGAGTGCTACCGTCTGGTTTTTATATGAAGTTCTTTCCTTCACTACCACAGGCCTCAAAGCGGTCCAAATCTCCACTTGCAGATTCTACAAAAAGAGTGTTTGCAAACTGCTCTATCAAAAGGAATGTTCAACTCTGGGAGTTGAATGCAATCATCACAGAGCAGTTTCTGAGAATGCTTCTATGTCGTTTTTAGGAGAAGATATTTCCTTTTCCAACACAGTCCTCCAAGCCCGCTAAATATCCACTTGCACATTGTAGAAAAAGTGTGTCGAAGCTGCGCTATCAAAGGGAAAGTTCAACTCTGTGAGGTGAATGCAAACATCCCAAAGAAGTTTCTGAGAATGCTTCCGTTTAGCTTTTAGGTGAAGATTATCCTGTTTCCAACGAAATCTTCAAAGAGGTCCAAATATCCCCTTGCGGATCCCACAGAAAGAGTGTTTCGAAACTGCTGTTTCAAAAGGAATCTTCAACTCTGTGGGTTGAATGCAATCATCACAAAGAAGTTTCTGACAATGCTTCTCTCTCGTCTTTCTGTGAAGATAAAGGAAAAGGCTTTCAGGCCTTTTCCACCACAGGCCTGAAAGCGCTCCAAATGTCCACTTGCAGATTCTGCCAAAAGAATATTTCAAAACTGCTCTATGAAAAGCAATGTTAAACTCTGCGGCTCGAACACAAACATCACAAAGCAGTTTCTGAGAATGCTTCAGTTTAGTTTTTCTGTGGAAATATTCCCATTTCCAAAGAAATCTTCAAAGAGGTCCACGTATCCACTTACAGATTCTACAAAAAGACAGTTTCAAAACTGCTCAATCAAAAGGAGGGTTCAACCGTGTGACTTGAATGCAATCATCACTCAGAAGTTTCTGAGAATGCTTCTCTTTAGTTTTTACGTGAACATATACCCGTTTCGAACGAAGGCCACCCAGTGGTCCAAATATCCACTTGCAGATTCTACAGAAAGAGTGTTTCGAACCTGAACTCTCAAAGGCAGGTTCATCTCTGCGAGTTCAATGCATTCATCATGAAGAACTTTCTCAGAGTGTTTGTGTTTAGGTATGGGAAATTATTCCCGTTTCCAACGAAATCTTCAGAGAGGTCCAAATATCCACCTGCAGATTCTACCAAAAGTGTATTTGGAAACTGCTCCATCAAAAGGCATGTTCAGCTCTGTGAGTGAAACTCCATCATCACAAAGAATATTCTGAGAATGCTTCCGTTTGCCTTTTATATGAAGTTCCTTCCTATACTACCGTAGGCCTCAAAGCAGTCCAAATCTCCATTTGCAGATTCTACAAAAAGAGTGATTCCAATCTGCTCTATCAATAGGATTGTTCAACTCCATGAGTTGAATGCCATCCTCACAAAGTAGTCTCTGAGAATGCTTCTATCTAGTTTTTATGTGAAGATATTTCCTTTTCCACCACAGGCCTCAAAGCCCTCCAAACGTCCACTTGCAGATTCTCGAAAAAGAGTGTTTCATAGCTGCTCTTTCAAAAGGAAAGTTCAACTCTGGGAGTTGAATACAAACATCACAAAGTAGTTTCCGAGAATGCTTCTGTTTAGTTCTTATGTGAAGATGATCCCGTTTCCAGTGAAATCTTCAAAGAGGTCCACATATCCCCTTGCAGATTCCAAAGAAAGAGGGTTTCAAAACTGCTCCATCAAAAGGATTGTTCAACTCTGTGAGTTGAATGCAGTCATCGCAGAAAACTTTCTGAGAATGCTTCTTTCTAGGTTTGATGTGAAGATATAGACGTTTCAAACGAAGGCTACAAAGTGGTCAAAATATACACTTGCAGATTCTACTACAAGGGTGTTGCAAACCTGAACTATCAAAGGAAGGTTCAACTCTGTGAGTTGAATACAAACATCACAAAGAATGTTCTGAGTTTGCTTCCGTTCAGTTATGGGAAGTTGATCCCGTTTCCAACGAAATCCTCAGAGAGGTCCAAATATCCCCTTGCAGATTCTACAAAACGTGTGTTTGGAAACTGCTCCATCATAACGAATGTTCAGCTGCTCTGAGTTAAACTCCATCGTCACAAAGAATTTTCTGAGAGTGCTACCGTCTGGTTTTTATATGAAGTTCTTTCCTTCACTACCACAGGCCTCAAAGCGGTCCAAATCTCCACTTGCAGATTCTACAAAAAGAGTGTTTGCAAACTGCTCTATCAAAAGGAATGTTCAACTCTGGGAGTTGAATGCAATCATCACAGAGCAGTTTCTGAGAATGCTTCTATGTCGTTTTTAGGAGTAGATATTTCCTTTTCCACCACAGTCCTCCAAGCCCGCTAAATAGCCACTTGCACATTCTAGAAAAAGTGTGTCAAAGCTGCGCTATCAAAGGGAAAGTTCAACTCTGTGAGGTGAATGCAAACATCCCAAAGAAGTTTCTGAGAATGCTTCCGTTTAGCTTTTTGGTGAAGATTATCCCGTTTCCAACGAAATCTTCAAAGAGGTCCAAATATCCCCCTGCGGATCCCACAGAAAGAGTGTTCCGAAACTGCTGTTTCAAAAGGAATCTTCAATTCTGTGAGTTGAATGCAATCATCACAAAGAAGTTTCTGACAATGCTTCTCTCTCATCTTTCTGTGAAGATAAAGGAAAAGGCTTTCAGGCCTTTTCCACCACAGGCCTGAAAGCGCTCCAAATGTCCACTTGCAGATTCTGCCAAAAGAATATTTCAAAACTGCTCTATGAAAAGCAATGTTAAACTCTGTGGCTCGAACACAAACATCACAAAGCAGTTTCTGAGAATGCTTCAGTTTAGTTTTTCTGTGGAAATATTCCCGTTTCCAAAGAAATCTTCAAAGAGGTCCACGTATCCACTTACAGATTCTACAAAAAGACAGTTTCAAAACTGCTCAATCAAAAGGAGGGTTCAACTGTGTGACTTGAATGCAATCATCACTCAGAAGTTTCTGAGAACGCTTCTCTTTAGTTTTTACGTGAACATATACCCGTTTCGAACGAAGGCCAGCCAGTGGTCCAAATATCCACTTGCAGATTCTACAGAAAGAGTGTTTCGAACCTGAACTCTCAAAGGCAGGTTCATCTCTGCGAGTTCAATGCATTCATCATGAAGAACTTTCTCAGCGTGTTTGTGTTTAGTTATGGGAAATTATTCCCGTTTCCAACGAAATCCTCAGAGAGCTCCAAATATCCACCTGCAGATTCTACCAAAAGTGTATTTGGAAACTGCTCCATCAAAAGGCATGTTCAGCTCTGTGAGTGAAACTCCATCATCACAAAGAATATTCTGAGAATGCTTCCGTTTGCCTTTTATATGAAGTTCCTTCCTATACTACCGTAGGCCTCAAAGCAGTCCAAATCTCCATTTGCAGATTCTACAAAAAGAGTGATTCCAATCTGCTCTATCAATAGGACTGTTCAACTCCATGAGTTGAATGCCATCCTCACAAAGTAGTTTCTGAGAATGCTTCTATCTAGTTTTTATGTGAAGATATTTCCTTTTCCACCACAGGCCTCAAAGCCCTCCAAACGTCCACTTGCAGATTCTCGAAAAAGAGTGTTTCATAGCTGCTCTTTCAAAAGGAAAGTTCACCTCTGGCAGTTGAATACAAACATCACAAAGTAGTTTCCGAGAATGCTTCTGTTTAGTTTTTATGTGAAGATGATCCCGTTTCCAGTGAAATCTTCAAAGAGGTCCACATATCCCCTTGCAGATTCCAAAGAAAGAGGGTTTCAAAACTGCTCCATCAGAAGGATTGTTCAACTCTGTGAGTTGAATGCAGTCATCGCAGAAAACTTTCTGAGAATGCTTCTGTCTAGGTTTGATGTGAAGATATAGCATGTTTCAAACGAAGGCTACAAAGTGGTCAAAATATACACTTGCAGATTCTACTACAAGGGTGTTGCAAACCTGAACTATCAAAGGAAGGTTCAACTCTGTGAGTTGAATACAAACATCACAAAGAATGTTCTGAGTTTGCTTCCGTTCAGTTATGGGAAGTTGATCCCGTTTCCAACGAAATCCTCAGAGAGGTCCAAATATCCCCTTGCAGATTCTACAAAACGTGTGTTTGGAAACTGCTCCATCATAACGAATGTTCAGCTCCCTGAGTTAAACTCCATCGTCACAAAGAATTTTCTGAGAGTGCTACCGTCTGGTTTTTATATGAAGTTCTTTCCTTCACTACCACAGGCCTCAAAGCGGTCCAAATCTCCACTTGCAGATTCTACAAAAAGAGTGTTTGCAAACTGCTCTATCAAAAGGAATGTTCAACTCTGGGAGTTGAATGCAATCATCACAGAGCAGTTTCTGAGAATGCTTCTATGTCGTTTTTAGGAGAAGATATTTCCTTTTCCAACACAGTCCTCCAAGCCCGCTAAATAGCCACTTGCACATTGTAGAAAAAGTGTGTCAAAGCTGCGCTATCAAAGGGAAAGTTCAACTCTGTGAGGTGAATGCAAACATCCCAAAGAAGTTTCTGAGAATGCTTCCGTTTAGCTTTTAGGTGAGGATTATCCCGTTTCCAACGAAACCTTCAAAGAGGTCCAAATATCCCCTTGCGGATCCCACAGAAAGAGTGTTTCGAAACTGCTGTTTCAAAAGGAATCTTCAACTCTGTGAGTTGAATGCAATCATCACAAAGAAGTTTCTGACAATGCTTCTCTCTCGTCTTTCTGTGAAGATAAAGGAAAAGGCTTTCAGGCCTTTGCCACCACAGGCCTGAAAGCGCTCCAAATGTCCACTTGCAGATTCTGCCAAAAGAATATTTCAAAACTGCTCTATGAAAAGCAATGTTAAACTCTGTGGCTCGAACACAAACATCACAAAGCGGTCTCTGAGAATGCTTCAGTTTAGTTTTTCTGTGGAAATATTCCCGTTTCCAAAGAAATCTTCAAAGAGGTCCACGTATCCACTTACAGATTCTACAAAAAGACAGTTTCAAAACTGCTCAATCAAAAGGAGGGTTCAACTGTGTGACTTGAATGCAATCATCACTCAGAAGTTTGCTGAGAATGCTTCTCTTTAGTTTTTACGTGAACATATACCCGTTTCGAACGAAGCCACCCAGTGGTCCAAATATCCACTTGCAGATTCTACAGAAAGAGTGTTTCGAACCTGAACTCTCAAAGGCAGGTTCATCTCTGCGAGTTAAATGCATTCATCATGAAGAACTTTCTCAGAGTGTTTGTGTTTAGTTATGGGAAATTATTCCCGTTTCCAACGAAATCCTCAGAGAGCTCCAAATATCCACCTGCAGATTCTACCAAAAGTGTATTTGGAAACTGCTCCATCAAAAGGCATGTTCAGCTCTGTGAGTGAAACTCCATCATCACAAAGAATATTCTGAGAATGCTTCCGTTTGCCTTTTATATGAAGTTCCTTCCTGTACTACCGTAGGCCTCAAAGCAGTCCAAATCTCCATTTGCAGATTCTACAAAAAGAGTGATTCCAATCTGCTGTATCAATAGGATTGTTCAACTCCATGAGTTGAATGCCATCCTCACAAAGTAGTTTCTGAGAATGCTTCTATCTGGTTTTTGTGTGAAGATATTTCCTTTTCCACCACAGGCCTCAAAGCCCTCCAAACGTCCACTTGCAGATTCTCGAAAAAGAGTGTTTCATAGCTGCTCTTTCAAAAGGAAAGTTCAACTCTGGGAGTTGAATACAAACATCACAAAATAGTTTCCGAGAATGCTTCTGTTTAGTTTTTATGTGAAGATGATCCCGTTTCCAGTGAAATCTTCAAAGAGGTCCACATATCCCCTTGCAGATTCCAAAGAAAGAGGGTTTCAAAACTGCTCCATCAAAAGGATTGTTCAACTCTGTGAGTTGAATGCAGTCATCGCAGAAAACTTTCTGAGAATGCTTCTGTCTAGGTTTGATGTGAAGATATAGACGTTTCAAACGAAGGCTACAAAGTGGTCAAAATATACACTTGCAGATTCTACTACAAGGGTTTTGCAAACCTGAACTATCAAAGGAAGGTTCAACTCTGTGAGTTGAATACAAACATAACAAAGAATGTTCTGAGTTTGCTTCCGTTCAGTTATGGGAAGTTGATCCCGTTTCCAACGAAATCCTCAGAGAGGTCCAAATATCCCCTTGCAGATTCTACAAAACGTGTGTTTGGAAACTGCTCCATCATAACGAATGTTCAGCTCCCTGAGTTAAACTCCATCGTCACAAAGAATTTTCTGAGAGTGCTACCGTCTGGTTTTTATATGAAGTTCTTTCCTTCACTACCACAGGCCTCAAAGCGGTCCAAATCTCCACTTGCAGATTCTACAAAAAGAGTGTTTGCAAACTGCTCTATCAAAAGGAATGTTCAACTCTGGGAGTTGAATGCAATCATCACAGAGCAGTTTCTGAGAATGCTTCTATGTCGTTTTTAGGAGAAGATATTTCCTTTTCCAACACAGTCCTCCAAGCCCGCTAAATAGCCACTTGCACATTGTAGAAAAAGTGTGTCAAAGCTGCGCTATCAAAGGGAAAGTTCAACTCTGTGAGGTGAATGCAAACATCCCAAAGAAGTTTCTGAGAATGCTTCCGTTTAGCTTTTAGGTGAAGATTATCCCGTTTCCAACGAAACCTTCAAAGAGGTCCAAATATCCCCTTGCGGATCCCACAGAAAGAGTGTTTCGAAACTGCTGTTTCAAAAGGAATCTTCAACTCTGTGAGTTGAATGCAATCATCACAAAGAAGTTTCTGACAATGCTTCTCTCTCGTCTTTCTGTGAAGATAAAGGAAAAGGCTTTCAGGCCTTTTCCACCACAGGCCTGAAAGCGCTCCAAATGTCCACTTGCAGATTCTGCGAAAAGAATATTTCAAAACTGCTCTATGAAAAGCAATGTTAAACTCTGTGGCTGGAACACAAACATCACAAAGCGGTTTCTGAGAATGCTTCAGTTTAGTTTTTCTGTGGAAATATTCCCGTTTCCAAAGAAATCTTCAAAGAGGTCCACGTATCCACTTACAGATTCTACAAAAAGACAGTTTCAAAACTGCTCCATCAAAAGGAGGGTTCAACTGTGTGACTTGAATGCAATCATCACTCAGAAGTTTCTGAGAATGCTTCTCTTTAGTTTTTACGTGAACATATACCCGTTTCGAACGAAGGCCAGCCAGTGGTCCAAATATCCACTTGCAGATTCTACAGAAAGAGTGTTTCGAACATGAACTCTCAAAGGCAGGTTCATCTCTGCGAGTTAAATGCATTCATCATGAAGAACTTTCTCAGAGTGTTTGTGTTTAGTTATGGGAAATTATTCCCGTTTCCAACGAAATCCTCAGAGAGGTCCAAATATCCACCTGCAGATTCTACCAAAAGTGTATTTGGAAACTGCTCCATCAAAAGGCATGTTCAGCTCTGTGAGTGAAACTCCATCATCACAAAGAATATTCTGAGAATGCTTCCGTTTGCCTTTTATATGAAGTTCCTTCCTATACGACCGGAGGCCTCAAAGCAGTCCAAATCTCCATTTGCAGATTCTACAAAAAGAGTGATTCCAATCTGCTCTATCAATAGGATTGTTCAACTCCATGAGTTGAATGCCATCCTCACAAAGTCGTTTCTGAGAATGCTTCTATTCTAGTTTTTATGTGAAGATATTTCCTTTTCCACCACAGGCCTCAAAGCCCTCCAAACGTCCACTTGCAGATTCTCGAAAAAGAGTGTTTCATAGCTGCTCTTTCAAAAGGAAAGTTCAACTCTGGGAGTTGAATACAAACATCACAAAGTAGTTTCCGAGAATGCTTCTGTTTAGTTCTTATGTGAAGATGATCCCGTTTCCAGTGAAATCTTCAAAGAGGTCCACATATCCCCTTGCAGATTCCAAAGAAAGAGGGTTTCAAAACTGCTCCATCAAAAGGATTGTTCAACTCCGTGAGTTGAATGCAGTCATCGCAGAAAACTTTCTGAGAATGCTTCTGTCTAGGTTTGATGTGAAGATATAGACGTTTCAAACGAAGGCTACAAAGTGGTCAAAATATACACTTGCAGATTCTACTACAAGGGTGTTGCAAACCTTAACTATCAAAGGAAGGTTCAACTCTGTGAGTTGAATACAAACATCGCAAAGAATGTTCTGAGTTTGCTTCCGTTCAGTTATGGGAAGTTGATCCCGTTTCCAACGAAATCCTCAGAGAGGTCCAAATATCCCCTTGCAGATTCTACAAAACGTGTGTTTGGAAACAGCTCCATCATAACGAATGTTCAGCTCTCTGAATTAAACTCCATCGTCACAAAGAATTTTCTGAGAGTGCTACCTTCTAGTTTTTATATCAAGTTCTTTCCTTTACTACCACAGGCCTCAAAGCGGTCCAAATCTCCACTTGCAGATTCTACAAAAAGAGTGTCTGCAAACTGCTCTATCAAAAGGAATGTTCAACTCTGGGAGTTGAATGCAATCATCACAGAGCAGTTTCTGAGAATGCTTCTATGTCGTTTTTAGGAGAAGATATTTCCTTTTCCAACACAGTCCTCCAAGCCCGCTAAATATCCACTTGCACATTGTAGAAAAAGTGTGTCGAAGCTGCGCTATCAAAGGGAAAGTTCAACTCTGTGAGGTGAATGCAAACATCCCAAAGAAGTTTCTGAGAATGCTTCCGTTTAGCTTTTAGGTGAAGATTATCCCGTTTCCAACGAAATCTTCAAAGAGGTCCAAATATACCCTCGCGGATCCCACAGAAAGAGTGTTTCGAAACTGCTGTTTCAAAAGGAATCATCAACTCTGTGAGTTGAATGCAATCATCACAAAGAAGTTTCTGACAATGCTTCTCTCTCGTCTTTCTGTGAAGATAAAGGAAAAGGCTTTCAGGCCTTTTCCCACCACAGGCCTGAAAGCGCTCCAAATGTCCACTTGCAGATTCTGTGAAAAGAATATTGCAAAACTGCTCTATGAAAAGCAATGTTAAACTCTGTGGCTCGAACACAAACATCACAAAGCAGTTTCTGAGAATGCTTCAGTTTAGTTTTTCTGTGGAAATATTCCCGTTTCCAAAGAAATCTTCAAAGAGGTCCACGTATCCACTTACAGATTCTACAAAAAGACAGTTTCAAAACTGCTCCATCAAAAGGAGGGTTCAACTGTGTGACTTGAATGCAATCATCACTCAGAAGTTTCTGAGAATGCTTCTCTTTAGTTTTTACGTGAACATATACCCGTTTAGAACGAAGGCCACACAGTGGTCCAAATATCCACTTGCAGATTCTACAGAAAGAGTGTTTCGAACCTGAACTCTCAAAGGCAGGTTCATCTCTGCGAGTTAAATGCATTCATCATGAAGAACTTTACTCAGAGTGTTTGTGTTTAGTTATGGGAAATTATTCCCGTTTCCAACGAAATCCTCAGAGAGCTCCAAATATCCACCTGCAGATTCTACCAAAAGTGTATTTGGAAACTGCTCCATCAAAAGGCATGTTCAGCTCTGTGAGTGAAACTCCATCATCACAAAGAATATTCTGAGAATGCTTCCGTTTGCCTTTTATATGAAGTTCCTTCCTGTACTACCGTAGGCCTCAAAGCAGTCCAAATCTCCATTTGCAGATTCTACAAAAAGAGTGATTCCAATCTGCTCTATCAATAGGATTGTTCAACTCCATGAGTTGAATGCCATCCTCACAAAGTAGTTTCTGAGAATGCTTCTATCTGGTTTTTGTGTGAAGATATTTCCTTTTCCACCACAGGCCTCAAAGCCCTCCAAACGTCCACTTGCAGATTCTCGAAAAAGAGTGTTTCATAGCTGCTCTTTCAAAAGGAAAGTTCAACTCTGGGAGTTGAATACAAACATCACAAAATAGTTTCTGAGAATGCTTCTGTTTAGTTTTTATATGAAGATGATCCCGTTTCCAGTGAAATCTTCAAAGAGGTCCACATATCCCCTTGCAGATTCCAAAGAAAGAGGGTTTCAAAACTGCTCCATCAGAAGGATTGTTCAACTCTGTGAGTTGAATGCAGTCATCGCAGAAAACTTTCTGAGAATGCTTCTGTCTAGGTTTGATGTGAAGATATAGACGTTTCAAACGAAGGCTACAAAGTGGTCAAAATATACACTTGCAGATTCTACTACAAGGGTGTTGCAAACCTGAACTATCAAAGGAAGGTTCAACTCTGTGAGTTGAATACAAACATCACAAAGAATGTTCTGAGTTTGCTTCCGTTCAGTTATGGGAAGTTGATCCCGTTTCCAACGAAATCCTCAGAGAGGTCCAAATATCCCCTCGCAGATTCTACAAAACGTGTGTTTGGAAACTGCTCCATCATAACGAATGTTCAGCTCCCTGAGTTAAACTCCATCGTCACAAAGAATTTTCTGAGAGTGCTACCGTCTGGTTTTTATATGAAGTTCTTTCCTTCACTACCACAGGCCTCAAAGCGGTCCAAATCTCCACTTGCAGATTCTACAAAAAGAGTGTTTGCAAACTGCTCTATCAAAAGGAATGTTCAACTCTGGGAGTTGAATGCAATCATCACAGAGCAGTTTCTGAGAATGCTTCTATGTCGTTTTTAGGAGAAGATATTTCCTTTTCCAACACAGTCCTCCAAGCCCGCTAAATAGCCTCTTGCACATTGTAGAAAAAGTGTGTCAAAGCTGCGCTATCAAAGGGAAAGTTCAACTCTGTGAGGTGAATGCAAACATCCCAAAGAAGTTTCTGAGAATGCTTCCGTTTAGCTTTTAGGTGAAGATTATCCCGTTTCCAACGAAACCTTCAAAGAGGTCCAAATATCCCCTTGCGGATCCCACAGAAAGAGTGTTTCGAAACTGCTGTTTCAAAAGGAATCTTCAACTCTGTGAGTTGAATGCAATCATCACAAAGAAGTTTCTGACAATGCTTCTCTCTCGTCTTTCTGTGAAGATAAAGGAAAAGGCTTTCAGGCCTTTTCCACCACAGGCCTGAAAGCGCTCCAAATGTCCACTTGCAGATTCTGCCAAAAGAATATTTCAAAACTGCTCTATGAAAAGCAATGTTAAACTCTGTGGCTGGAACACAAACATCACAAAGCGGTTTCTGAGAATGTTTCAGTTTAGTTTTTCTGTGGAAATATTCCCGTTTCCAAAGAAATCTTCAAAGAGGTCCACGTATCCACTTACAGATTCTACAAAAAGACAGTTTCAAAACTGCTCCATCAAAAGGAGGGTTCAACTGTGTGACTTGAATGCAATCATCACTCAGAAGTTTCTGAGAATGCTTCTCTTTAGTTTTTACGTGAACATATACCCGTTTCGAACGAAGGCCACCCAGTGGTCCAAATATCCACTTGCAGATTATACAGAAAGAGTGTTTCGAACCTGAACTCTCAAAGGAAGGTTCATCTCTGCGAGTTAAATGCATTCATCATGAAGAACTTTCTCAGAGTGTTTGTGTTTAGTTATGGGAAATTATTCCCGTTTCCAACGAAATCCTCAGAGAGCTCCAAATATCCACCTGCAGATTCTACCAAAAGTGTATTTGGAAACTGCTCCATCAAAAGGCATGTTCAGCTCTGTCAGTGAAACTCCATCATCACAAAGAATATTCTGAGAATGCTTCCGTTTGCCTTTTATATGAAGTTCCTTCCTGTACTACCGTAGGCCTCAAAGCAGTCCAAATCTCCATTTGCAGATTCTACAAAAAGAGTGATTCCAATCTGCTGTATCAATAGGATTGTTCAACTCCATGAGTTGAATGCCATCCTCACAAAGTCGTTTCTGAGAATGCTTCTATCTGGTTTTTGTGTGAAGATATTTCCTTTTCCACCACAGGCCTCAAAGCCCTCCAAACGTCCACTTGCAGATTCTCGAAAAAGAGTGTTTCATAGCTGCTCTTTCAAAAGGAAAGTTCAACTCTGGGAGTTGAATACAAACATCACAAAATAGTTTCCGAGAATGCTTCTGTTTAGTTTTTATGTGAAGATGATCCCGTTTCCAGTGAAATCTTCAAAGAGGTCCACATATCCCCTTGCAGATTCCAAAGAAAGAGGGTTTAAAAACTGCTCCATCAGAAGGATTGTTCAACTCTGTGAGTTCAATGCAGTCATCGCAGAAATCTTTCTGAGAATGCTTCTGTCTAGGTTTGATGTGAAGATATAGACGTTTCAAACGAAGGCTACAAAGTGGTCAAAATATACACTTGCAGATTCTACTACAAGGGTGTTGCAAACCTGAACTATCAAAGGAAGGTTCAACTCTGTGAATTGAATACAAACATCACAAAGAATGTTCTGAGTTTGCTTCCGTTCAGTTATGGGAAGTTGATCCCGTTTCCAACGAAATCCTCAGAGAGGTCCAAATATCCCCTTGCAGATTCTACAAAACGTGTGTTTGGAAACTGCTCCATCATAACGAATGTTCAGCTCCCTGAGTTAAACTCCATCGTCACAAAGAATTTTCTGAGAGTGCTACCGTCTGGTTTTTATATGAAGCTCTTTCCTTCACTACCACAGGCCTCAAAGCGGTCCAAATCTCCACTTGCAGATTCTACAAAAAGAGTGTTTGCAAACTGCTCTATCAAAAGGAATGTTCAACTCTGGGAGTTGAATGCAATCATCACAGAGCAGTTTCTGAGAATGCTTCTATGTCGTTTTTAGGAGAAGATATTTCCTTTTCCAACACAGTCCTCCAAGCCCGCTAAATAGCCACTTGCACATTGTAGAAAAAGTGTGTCAAAGCTGCGCTATCAAAGGGAAAGTTCAACTCTGTGAGGTGAATGCAAACATCCCAAAGAAGTTTCTGAGAATGCTTCCGTTTAGCTTTTAGGTGAAGATTATCCCGTTTCCAACGAAACCTTCAAAGAGGTCCAAATATCCCCTTGCGGATCCCACAGAAAGAGTGTTTCGAAACTGCTGTTTCAAAAGGAATCTTCAACTCTGTGAGTTGCATGCAATCATCACAAAGAAGTTTCTGACAATGCTTCTCTCTCGTCTTTCTGTGAAGATAAAGGAAAAGGCTTTCAGGCCTTTTCCACCACAGGCCTGAAAGCGCTCCAAATGTCCACTTGCAGATTCTGCCAAAAGAATATTTCAAAACTGCTCTATGAAAAGCAATGTTAAACTCTGTGGCTCGAACACAAACATCACAAAGCAGTTTCTGAGAATGCTTCAGTTTAGTTTTTCTGTGGAAATATTCCCGTTTCCAAAGAAATCTTCAAAGAGGTCCACGTATCCACTTACAGATTCTACAAAAAGACAGTTTCAAAACTGCTCCATCAAAAGGAGGGTTCAACTGTGTGACTTGAATGCAATCATCACTCAGAAGTTTCTGAGAATGCTTCTCTTTAGTTTTTACGTGAACATATACCCGTTTCGAACGAAGGCCACCCAGTGGTCCAAATATCCACTTGCAGATTCTACAGAAAGAGTGTTTCGAACCTGAACTCTCAAAGGCAGGTTCATCTCTGCGAGTTAAATGCATTCATCATGAAGAACTTTCTCAGAGTGTTTGTGTTTAGTTATGGGAAATTATTCCCGTTTCCAACGAAATCCTCAGAGAGCTCCAAATATCCACCTGCAGATTCTACCAAAAGTGTATTTGGAAACTGCTCCAACAAAAGGCATGTTAAGCTCTGTGAGTGAAACTCCATCATCACAAAGAATATTCTGAGAATGCTTCCGTTTGCCTTTTATATGAAGTTCCTTCCTATACTACCGTAGGCCTCAAAGCAGTCCAAATCTCCATTTGCAGATTCTACAAAAAGAGTGATTCCAATCTGCTCTATCAATAGGATTGTTCAACTCCATGAGTTGAATGCCATCCTCACAAAGTAGTTTCTGAGAATGCTTCTATCTAGTTTTTATGTGAAGATATTTCCTTTTCCACCACAGGCCTCAAAGCCCTCCAAACGTCCACTTGCAGATTTTCGAAAAAGAGTGTTTCATAGCTGCTCTTTCAAAAGGAAAGTTCAACTCTGGGAGTTGAATACAAACATCACAAAGTAGTTTCCGAGAATGCTTCTGTTTAGTTTTTATGTGAAGATGATCCCGTTTCCAGTGAAATCTTCAAAGAGGTCCACATATCCCCTTGCAGATTCCAAAGAAAGAGGGTTTCAAAACTGCTCCATCAGAAGGATTGTTCAACTCTGTGAGTTGAATGCAGTCATCGCAGAAAACTTTCTGAGAATGCTTCTGTCTAGGTTTGATGTGAAGGTATAGACATTTCAAATGAAGGCTACAAAGTGGTCAAAATATACACTTGCAGATTCTACTACAAGGGTGTTGCAAACCTGAACTATCAAAGGAAGGTTCAACTCTGTGAGTTGAATACAAACATCACAAAGAATGTTCTGAGTTTGCTTCCGTTCAGTTATGGGAAGTTGATCCCGTTTCCAACGAAATCCTCAGAGAGGTCAAAATATCCCCTTGCAGATTCTACAAAACGTGTGTTTGGAAACTGCTCCATCATAACGAATGTTCAGCTCCCTGAGTTAAACTCCATCGTCACAAAGAATTTTCTGAGAGTGCTACCGTCTGGTTTTTATATGAAGTTCTTTCCTTCACTACCACAGGCCTCAAAGCGGTCCAAATCTCCACTTGCAGATTCTACAAAAAGAGTGTTTGCAAACTGCTCTATCAAAAGGAATGTTCAACTCTGGGAGTTGAATGCAATCATCACAGAGCAGTTTCTGAGAATGCTTCTATGTCGTTTTTAGGAGAAGATATTTCCTTTTCCAACACAGTCCTCCAAGCCCGCTAAATAGCCACTTGCACATTGTAGAAAAAGTGTGTCGAAGCTGCGCTATCAAAGGGAAAGTTCAACTCTGTGAGGTGAATGCAAACATCCCAAAGAAGTTTCTGAGAATGCTTCCGTTTAGCTTTTAGGTGAAGATTATCCCGTTTCCAACGAAATCTTCAAAGAGGTCCAAATATCCCCTTGCGGATCCCACAGAAAGAGTGTTTCGAAACTGCTGTTTCAAAAGGAATCTTCAACTCTGTGAGTTGAATGCAATCATCACAAAGAAGTTTCTGACAATGCTTCTCTCTCGTCTTTCTGTGAAGATAAAGGAAAAGGCTTTCAGGCCTTTTCCACCACAGGCCTGAAAGCGCTCCAAATGTCCACTTGCAGATTCTGCCAAAAGAATATTTCAAAACTGCTCTATGAAAAGCAATGTTAAACTCTGTGGCTCGAACACAAACATCACAAAGCAGTTTCTGAGAATGCTTCAGTTTAGTTTTTCTGTGGAAATATTCCCGTTTCGAAAGAAATCTTCAAAGAGGTCCACGTATCCACTTACAGATTCTACAAAAAGACAGTTTCAAAACTGCTCAATCAAAAGGAGGGTTCAACCGTGTGACTTGAATGCAATCATCACTCAGAAGTTTCTGAGAATGCTTCTCTTTAGTTTTTACGTGAACATATACCCGTTTCGAACGAAGGCCACCCAGTGGTCCAAATATCCACTTGCAGATTCTACAGAAAGAGTGTTTCGAACCTGAACTCTCAAAGGCAGGTTCATCTCTGCGAGTTAAATGCATTCATCATGAAGAACTTTCTCAGAGTGTTTGTGTTTAGGTATGGGAAATTATTGCCGTTTCCAACGAAATCCTCAGAGAGGTCCAAATATCCACCTGCAGATTCTACCAAAAGTGTATTTGGAAACTGCTCCATCAAAAGGCATGTTCAGCTCTGTGAGTGAAACTCCATCATCACAAAGAATATTCTGAGAATGCTTCCGTTTGCCTTTTATATGAAGTTCCTTCCTATACTACCGTAGGCCTCAAAGCAGTCCAAATCTCCATTTGCAGATCCTACAAAAAGAGTGATTCCAATCTGCTCTATCAATAGGATTGTTCAACTCCATGAGTTGAATGCCATCCTCACAAAGTAGTCTCTGAGAATGCTTCTATCTAGTTTTTATGTGAAGATATTTCCTTTTCCACCACAGGCCTCAAAGCCCTCCAAACGTCCACTTGCAGATTCTCGAAAAAGAGTGTTTCATAGCTGCTCTTTCAAAAGGAAAGTTCAACTCTGGGAGTTGAATACAAACATCACAAAGTAGTTTCCGAGAATGCTTCTGTTTAGTTCTTATGTGAAGATGATCCCGTTTCCAGTGAAATCTTCAAAGAGGTCCACATATCCCCTTGCAGATTCCAAAGAAAGAGGGTTTCAAAACTGCTCCATCAAAAGGATTGTTCAACTCTGTGAGTTGAATGCAGTCATCGCAGAAAACTTTCTGAGAATGCTTCTGTCTAGGTTTGATGTGAAGATATAGACGTTTCAAACGAAGGCTACAAAGTGGTCAAAATATACACTTGCAGATTCTACTACAAGGGTGATGCAAACCTCAACTATCAAAGGAAGGTTCAACTCTGTGAGTTGAATACAAACATCACAAAGAATGTTCTGAGTTTGCTTCCGTTCAGTTATGGGAAGTTGATCCCGTTTCCAACGAAATCCTCAGAGAGGTCCAAATATCCCCTTGCAGATTCTACAAAACGTGTGTTTGGAAACTGCTCCATCATAACGGATGTTCAGCTCTCTGAGTTAAACTCCATCGTCACAAAGAATTTTCTGAGAGTGCTACCCTCTGGTTTTTATATGAAGTTGTTTCCTTTACTACCACAGGCCTCAAAGCGGTCCAAATCTCCACTTGCAGATTCTACAAAAAGAGTGTTTGCAAACTGCTCTATCAAAAGGAATGTTCAACTCTGGGAGTTGAAAGCAATCATCACAGAGCAGTTTCTGAGAATGCTTCTATGTCGTTTTTAGGAGAAGATATTTCCTTTTCCAACACAGTCCTCCAAGCCCGCTAAATATCCACTTGCACATTGTAGAAAAAGTGTGTCGAAGCTGCGCTATCAAAGGGAAAGTTCAACTCTGTGAGGTGAATGCAAACATCCCAAAGAAGTTTCTGAGAATACTTCCGTTTAGCTTTTAGGTGAAGATTATCCCGTTTCCAACGAAATCTTCAAAGAGGTCCAAATATCCCCCTGCGGATCCCACAGAAAGAGTGTTTCGAAACTGCTGTTTCAAAAGGAATCTTCAACTCTGTGAGTTGAATGCAATCATCACAAAGAAGTTTCTGACAATGCTTCTCTCTCGTCTTTCTGTGAAGATAAAGGAAAAGGCTTTCAGGCCTTTTCCACCACAGGCCTGAAAGCGCTCCAAATGTCCACTTGCAGATTCTGCCAAAAGAATATTTCAAAACTGCTCTATGAAAAGCAATGTTAAACTCTGCGGCTCGAACACAAACATCACAAAGCAGTTTCTGAGAATGCTTCAGTTTAGTTTTTCTGTGGAAATATTCCCGTTTCCAAAGAAATCTTCAAAGAGGTCCACGCATCCACTTACAGATTCTACAAAAAGACAGTTTCAAAACTGCTCAATCAAAAGGAGGGTTCAACTGTGTGACTTGAATGCAATCATCACTCAGAAGTTTCTGAGAACGCTTCTCTTTAGTTTTTACGTGAACATATAACCGTTTCGAACGAAGGCCACCCAGTGGTCCAAATATCCACTTGCAGATTCTACAGAAAGAGTGTTTCGAACCTGAACTCTCAGAGGCAGGTTCATCTCTGCGAGTTCAATGCATTCATCATGAAGAACTTTCTCAGCGTGTTTGTGTTTAGTTATGGGAAATTATTCCCGTTTCCAACGAAATCCTCAGAGAGGTCCAAATGTCCACCTGCAGATTCTACCAAAAGTGTATTTGGAAACTGCTCCATCAACAGGCATGTTCAGCTCTGTGAGTGAAACTCCATCATCACAAAGAATATTCTGAGAATGCTTCCGTTTGCCTTTTATCTGAAGTTCCTTCCTATACGACCGTAGGCCTCAAAGCAGTCCAAATCTCCATTTGCAGATTCTACAAAAAGAGTGATTCCAATCTGCTCTATCAATAGGATTGTTCAACTCCATGAGTTGAATGCCATCCTCACAAAGTCGTTTCTGAGAATGCTTCTATCTGGTTTTTATGTGAAGATATTTCCTTTTCCACCACAGGCCTCAAAGCCCTCCAAACGTCCACTTGCAGATTCTCGAAAAAGAGTGTTTCATAGCTGCTCTTTCAAAAGGAAAGTTCAACTCTGGGAGTTGAATACAAACATCACAAAGTAGTTTCCGAGAATGCTTCTGTTTAGTTTTTATGTGAAGATGATCCCGTTTCCAGTGAAATCTTCAAAGAGGTCCACATATCCCCTTGCAGATTCCAAAGAAAGAGGGTTTCAAAACTGCTCCATCAGAAGGATTGTTCAACTCTGTGAGTTGAATGCAGTCATCGCAGAAAACTTTCTGAGAATGCTTCTGTCTAGGTTTGATGTGAAGATATAGACGTTTCAAACGAAGGCTACAAAGTGGTCAAAATATACACTTGCAGATTCTACTACAAGGGTGTTGCAAACCTGAACTATCAAAGGAAGGTTCAACTCTGTGAGTTGAATACAAACATCACAAAGAATGTTCTGAGTTTGCTTCCGTTCAGTTATGGGAAGTTGATCCCGTTTCCAACGAAATCCTCAGAGAGGTCCAAATATCCCCTCGCAGATTCTACAAAACGTGTGTTTGGAAACTGCTCCATCATAACGAATGTTCAGCTCCCTGAGTTAAACTCCATCGTCACAAAGAATTTTCTGAGAGTGCTACCGTCTGGTTTTTATATGAAGTTCTTTCCTTCACTACCACAGGCCTCAAAGCGGTCCAAATCTCCACTTGCAGATTCTACAAAAAGAGTGTTTGCAAACTGCTCTATCAAAAGGAATGTTCAACTCTGGGAGTTGAATGCAATCATCACAGAGCAGTTTCTGAGAATGCTTCTATGTCGTTTTTAGGAGAAGATATTTCCTTTTCCAACACAGTCCTCCAAGCCCGCTAAATAGCCACTTGCACATTGTAGAAAAAGTGTGTCAAAGCTGCGCTATCAAAGGGAAAGTTCAACTCTGTGAGGTGAATGCAAACATCCCAAAGAAGTTTCTGAGAATGCTTCCGTTTAGCTTTTAGGTGAAGATTATCCCGTTTCCAACGAAACCTTCAAAGAGGTCCAAATATCCCCTTGCGGATCCCACAGAAAGAGTGTTTCGAAACTGCTGTTTCAAAAGGAATCTTCAACTCTGTGAGTTGAATGCAATCATCACAAAGAAGTTTCTGACAATGCTTCTCTCTCGTCTTTCTGTGAAGTTAAAGGAGAAGGCTTTCAGGCCTTTTCCACCACAGGCCTGAAAGCGCTCTAAATGTCCACTTGCAGATTCTGCCAAAAGAATATTTCAAAACTGCTCTATGAAAAGCAATGTTAAACTCTGTGGCTCGAACACAAACATCACAAAGCAGTTTCTGAGAATGCTTCAGTTTAGTTTTTCTGTGGAAATATTCCCGTTTCCAAAGAAATCTTCAAAGAGGTCCACGTATCCACTTACAGATTCTACAAAAAGACAGTTTCAAAACTGCTCCATCAAAAGGAGGGTTCAACTGTGTGACTTGAATGCAATCATCACTCAGAAGTTTCTGAGAATGCTTCTCTTTAGTTTTTACGTGAACATATACCCGTTTCGAACGAAGGCCAGCCAGTGGTCCAAATATCCACTTGCAGATTCTACAGAAAGAGTGTTTCGAACATTAACTCTCAAAGGCAGGTTCATCTCTGCGAGTTAAATGCATTCATCATGAAGAACTTTCTCAGAGTGTTTGTGTTTAGTTATGGGAAATTATTCCCGTTTCCAACGAAATCCTCAGAGAGCTCCAAATATCCACCTGCAGATTCTACCAAAAGTGTATTTGGAAACTGCTCCATCAAAAGGCATGTTCAGCTCTGTGAGTGAAACTCCATCATCACAAAGAATATTCTGAGAATGCTTCCGTTTGCCTTTTATATGAAGTTCCTTCCTATACGACCGTAGGCCTCAAAGCAGTCCAAATCTCCATTTGCAGATTCTACAAAAAGAGTGATTCCAATCTGCTCTATCAATAGGATTGTTCAACTCCATGAGTTGAATGCCATCCTCACAAAGTCGTTTCTGAGAATGCTTCTATCTAGTTTTTATGTGAAGATATTTCCTTTTCCACCACAGGCCTCAAAGCCCTCCAAACGTCCACTTGCAGATTCTCGAAAAAGAGTGTTTCATAGCTGCTCTTTCAAAAGGAAAGTTCAACTCTGGGAGTTGAATACAAACATCACAAAGTAGTTTCCGAGAATGCTTCTGTTTAGTTTTTATGTGAAGATGATCCCGTTTCCAGTGAAATCTTCAAAGAGGTCCACATATCCCCTTGTAGATTCCAAAGAAAGAGGGTTTCAAAACTGCTCCATCAGAAGGATTGTTCAACTCTGTGAGTTGAATGCAGTCATCGCAGAAAACTTTCTGAGAATGCTTCTGTCTAGGTTTGATGTGAAGATATAGACGTTTCAAACGAAGGCTACAAAGTGGTCAAAATATACACTTGCAGATTCTACTACAAGGGTGTTGCAAACCTGAACTATCAAAGGAAGGTTCAACTCTGTGAGTTGAATACAAACATCACAAAGAATGTTCTGAGTTTGCTCCGTTCAGTTATGGGAAGTTGATCCCGTTTCCAACGAAATCCTCAGAGAGGTCCAAATATCCCCTTGCAGATTCTACAAAACGTGTGTTTGGAAACTGCTCCATCATAACGAATGTTCAGCTCTGCTGAGTTAAACTCCATCGTCACAAAGAATTTTCTGAGAGTGCTAACCGTCTGGTTTTTATATGAAGTTCTTTCCTTCACTACCACAGGCCTCAAAGCGGTCCAAATCTCCACTTGCAGATTCTACAAAAAGAGTGTTTGCAAACTGCTCTATCAAAAGGAATGTTCAACTCTGGGAGTTGAATGCAATCATCACAGAGCAGTTTCTGCGAATGCTTCTATGTCGTTTTTAGGAGAAGATATTTCCTTTTCCAACACAGTCCTCCAAGCCCGCTAAATAGCCACTTGCACATTGTAGAAAAAGTGTGTCAAAGCTGCGCTATCAAAGGGAAAGTTCAACTCTGTGAGGTGAATGCAAACATCCCAAAGAAGTTTCTGAGAATGCTTCCGTTTAGCTTTTAGGTGAAGATTATCCCGTTTCCAACGAAACCTTCAAAGAGGTCCAAATATCCCCTTGCGGATCCCACAGAAAGAGTGTTTCGAAACTGCTGTTTCAAAAGGAATCTTCAACTCTGTGAGTTGAATGCAATCATCACAAAGAAGTTTCTGACAATGCTTCTCTCTCGTCTTTCTGTGAAGGTAAAGGAAAAGGCTTTCAGGCCTTTTCCACCCACAGGCCTGAAAGCGCTCCAAATGTCCACTTGCAGATTCTGCCAAAAGAATATTTCAAAACTGCTCTATGAAAAGCAATGTTAAACTCTGTGGCTCGAACACAAACATCACAAAGCGGTTTCTGAGAATGCTTCAGTTTAGTTTTTCTGTGGAAATATTCCCGTTTCCAAAGAAATCTTCAAAGAGGTCCACGTATCCACTTACAGATTCTACAAAAAGACAGTTTCAAAACTGCTCCATCAAAAGGAGGGTTCAACTGTGTGAGTTGAATGCAATCATCACTCAGAAGTTTCTGAGAATGCTTCTCTTTAGTTTTTACGTGAACATATACCCGTTTCGAACGAAGGCCAGCCAGTGGTCCAAATATCCACTTGCAGATTCTACAGAAAGAGTGTTTCGAACCTGAACTCTCAAAGGCAGGTTCATCTCTGCGAGTTAAATGCATTCATCATGAAGAACTTTCTCAGAGTGTTTGTGTTTAGTTATGGGAAATTATTCCCGTTTCCAACGAAATCCTCAGAGAGCTCCAAATATCCACCTGCAGATTCTACCAAAAGTGTATTTGGAAACTGCTCCATCAAAAGGCATGTTCAGCTCTGTGAGTGAAACTCCATCATCACAAAGAATATTCTGAGAATGCTTCCGTTTGCCTTTTATATGAAGTTCCTTCCTGTACTACCGTAGGCCTCAAAGCAGTCCAAATCTCCATTTGCAGATTCTACAAAAAGAGTGATTCCAATCTGCTCTATCAATAGGATTGTTCAACTCCATGAGTTGAATGCCATCCTCACAAAGTAGTTTCTGAGAATGCTTCTATCTAGTTTTTATGTGAAGATATTTCCTTTTCCACCACAGGCCTCAAAGCCCTCCAAACGTCCACTTGCAGATTCTCGAAAAAGAGTGTTTCATAGCTGCTCTTTCAAAAGGAAAGTTCAACTCTGGGAGTTGAATACAAACATCACAAAGTAGTTTCCGAGAATGCTTCTGTTTAGTTTTTATGTGAAGATGATCCCGTTTCCAGTGAAATCTTCAAAGAGGTCCACATATCCCCTTGCAGATTCCAAAGAAAGAGGGTTTCAAAACTGCTCCATCAGAAGGATTGTTCAACTCTGTGAGTTGAATGCAGTCATCGCAGAAAACTTTCTGAGAATGCTTCTGTCTAGGTTTGATGTGAAGATATAGACGTTTCAAACGAAGGCTACAAAGTGGTCAAAATATACACTTGCAGATTCTACTACAAGGGTGTTGCAAACCTGAACTATCAAAGGAAGGTTCAACTCTGTGAGTTGAATACAAACATCACAAAGAATGTTCTGAGTTTGCTTCCGTTCAGTTATGGGAAGTTGATCCCGTTTCCAACGAAATCCTCAGAGAGGTCCAAATATCCCCTCACAGATTCTACAAAACGTGTGTTTGGAAACTGCTCCATCATAACGAATGTTCAGCTCCCTGAGTTAAACTCCATCGTCACAAAGAATTTTCTGAGAGTGCTACCGTCTGGTTTTTATATGAAGTTCTTTCCTTCACTACCACAGGCCTCAAAGCGGTCCAAATCTCCACTTGCAGATTCTACAAAAAGAGTGTTTGCAAACTGCTCTATCAAAAGGAATGTTCAACTCTGGGAGTTGAATGCAATCATCACAGAGCAGTTTCTGAGAATGCTTCTATGTCGTTTTTAGAAGATATTTCCTTTTCCAACACAGTCCTCCAAGCCCGCTAAATAGCCACTTGCACATTGTAGAAAAAGTGTGTCAAAGCTGCGCTATCAAAGGGAAAGTTCAACTCTGTGAGGTGAATGCAAACATCCCAAAGAAGTTTCTGAGAATGCTTCCGTTTAGCTTTTAGGTGAAGATTATCCCGTTTCCAACGAAACCTTCAAAGAGGTCCAAATATCCCCTTGCGGATCCCACAGAAAGAGTGTTTCGAAACTGTTGTTTCAAAAGGAATCTTCAACTCTGTGAGTTGAATGCAATCATCACAAAGAAGTTTCTGACAATGCTTCTCTCTCGTCTTTCTGTGAAGATAAAGGAAAAGGCTTTCAGGCCTTTGCCACCACAGGCCTGAAAGCGCTCCAAATGTCCACTTGCAGATTCTGCGAAAAGAATATTTCAAAACTGCTCTATGAAAAGCAATGTTAAACTCTGTGGCTGGAACACAAACATCACAAAGCGGTTTCTGAGAATGCTTCAGTTTAGTTTTTCTGTGGAAATATTCCCGTTTCCAAAGAAATCTTCAAAGAGGTCCACGTATCCACTTACAGATTCTACAAAAAGACAGTTTCAAAACTGCTCCATCAAAAGGAGGGTTCAACCGTGTGACTTGAATGCAATCATCACTCAGAAGTTTCTGAGAATGCTTCTCTTTAGTTTTTACGTGAACATATACCCGTTTCGAACGAAGGCCACCCAGTGGTCCAAATATCCACTTGCAGATTATACAGAAAGAGTGTTTCGAACCTGAACTCTCAAAGGCAGGTTCATCTCTGCGAGTTAAATGCATTCATCATGAAGAACTTTCTCAGAGTGTTTGTGTTTAGTTATGGGAAATTATTCCCGTTTCCAACGAAATCCTCAAAGAGCTCCAAATATCCACCTGCAGATTCTACCAAAAGTGTATTTGGAAACTGCTCCATCAAAAGGCATGTTCAGCTCTGTGAGTGAAACTCCATCATCACAAAGAATATTCTGAGAATGCTTCCGTTTGCCTTTTATATGAAGTTCCTTCCTATACGACCGTAGGCCTCAAAGCAGTCCAAATCTCCATTTGCAGATTCTACAAAAAGAGTGATTCCAATCTGCTCTATCAATAGGATTGTTCAACTCCATGAGTTGAATGCCATCCTCACAAAGTAGTTTCTGAGAATGCTTCTATCTAGTTTTTATGTTTAGGTATTTCCTTTTCCACCACAGGCCTCCAAGCCCTCCAAACGTCCACTTGCAGATTCTCGAAAAAGAGTGTTTCATAGCTGCTCTTTCAAAAGGAAAGTTCAACTCTGGGAGTTGAATACAAACATCACAAAGTAGTTTCCGAGAATGCTTCTGTTTAGTTTTTATGTGAAGATGATCCCGTTTCCAGTGAAATCTTCAAAGAGGTCCACATATCCCCTTGCAGATTCCAAAGAAAGAGGGTTTCAAAACTGCTCCATCAGAAGGATTGTTCAACTCTGTGAGTTGAATGCAGTCATCGCAGAAAACTTTCTGAGAATGCTTCTGTCTAGGTTTGATGTGAAGATATAGACGTTTCAAATGAAGGCTACAAAGTGGTCAAAATATACACTTGCAGATTCTACTACAAGGGTGTTGCAAACCTGAACTATCAAAGGAAGGTTCAACTCTGTGAGTTGAATACAAACATCACAAAGAATGTTCTGAGTTTGCTTCCGTTCAGTTATGGGAAGTTGATCCCGTTTCCAACGAAATCCTCAGAGAGGTCCAAATATCCCCTTGCAGATTCTACAAAACGTGTGTTTGGAAACTGCTCCATCATAATGAATGTTCAGCTCCCTGAGTTAAACTCCATCGTCACAAAGAATTTTCTGAGAGTGCTACCGTCTGGTTTTTATATGAAGTTCTTTCCTTCACTACCCCAGGCCTCAAAGCGGTCCAAATCTCCACTTGCAGATTCTACAAAAAGAGTGTTTGCAAACTGCTCTATCAAAAGGAATGTTCAACTCTGGGAGTTGAATGCAATCATCACAGAGCAGTTTCTGAGAATGCTTCTATGTCGTTTTTAGGAGAAGATATTTCCTTTTCCAACACAGTCCTCCAAGCCCGCTAAATAGCCACTTGCACATTGTAGAAAAAGTGTGTCAAAGCTGCGCTATCAAAGGGAAAGTTCAACTCTGTGAGGTGAATGCAAACATCCCAAAGAAGTTTCTGAGAATGCTTCCGTTTAGCTTTTAGGTGAAGATTATCCCGTTTCCAACGAAACCTTCAAAGAGGTCCAAATATCCCCTTGCGGATCCCACAGAAAGAGTGTTTCGAAACTGCTGTTTCAAAAGGAATCTTCAACTCTGTGAGTTGAATGCAATCATCACAAAGAAGTTTCTGACAATGCTTCTCTCTCGTCTTTCTGTGAAGATAAAGGAAAAGGCTTTCAGGCCTTTTCCACCACAGGCCTGAAAGCGCTCCAAATGTCCACTTGCAGATTCTGCCAAAAGAATATTTCAAAACTGCTCTATGAAAAGCAATGTTAAACTCTGTCGCTCGAACACAAACATCACAAAGCAGTTTCTGAGAATGCTTCAGTTTAGTTTTTCTGTGGAAATATTCCCGTTTCCAAAGAAATCTTCAAAGAGGTCCACGTATCCACTTACAGATTCTACAAAAAGACAGTTTCAAAACTGCTCCATCAAAAGGAGGGTTCAACTGTGTGACTTGAATGCAATCATCACTCAGAAGTTTCTGAGAATGCTTCTCTTTAGTTTTTACGTGAACATATACCCGTTTCGAACGAAGGCCAGCCAGTGGTCCAAATATCCACTTGCAGATTCTACAGAAAGAGTGTTTCGAACCTGAACTCTCAAAGGCAGGTTCATCTCTGCGAGTTAAATGCATTCATCATGAAGAACTTTCTCAGAGTGTTTGTGTTTAGTTATGGGAAATTATTCCCGTTTCCAACGAAATCCTCAGAGAGCTCCAAATATCCACCTGCAGATTCTACCAAAAGTGTATTTGGAAACTGCTCCATCAAAAGGCATGTTCAGCTCTGTGAGTGAAACTCCATCATCACAAAGAATATTCTGAGAATGCTTCCGTTTGCCTTTTATATGAAGTTCCTTCCTATACGACCGTAGGCCTCAAAGCAGTCCAAATCTCCATTTGCAGATTCTACAAAAAGAGTGATTCCAATCTGCTCTATCAATAGGATTGTTCAACTCCATGAGTTGAATGCCATCCTCACAAAGTCGTTTCTGAGAATGCTTCTATCTAGTTTTTATGTGAAGATATTTCCTTTTCCACCACAGGCCTCAAAGCCCTCCAAACGTCCACTTGCAGATTCTCGAAAAAGAGTGTTTCATAGCTGCTCTTTCAAAAGGAAAGTTCAACTCTGGGAGTTGAATACAAACATCACAAAGTAGTTTCCGAGAATGCTTCTGTTTAGTTTTTATGTGAAGATGATCCCGTTTCCAGTGAAATCTTCAAAGAGGTCCACATATCCCCTTGCAGATTCCAAAGAAAGAGGGTTTCAAAACTGCTCCATCAGAAGGATTGTTCAACTCTGTGAGTTGAATGCAGTCATCGCAGAAAACTTTCTGAGAATGCTTCTGTCTAGGTTTGATGTGAAGATATAGACGTTTCAAACGAAGGCTACAAAGTGGTCAAAATATACACTTGCAGATTCTACTACAAGGGTGTTGCAAACCTGAACTATCAAAGGAAGGTTCAACTCTGTGAGTTGAATACAAACATCACAAAGAATGTTCTGAGTTTGCTTCCGTTCAGTTATGGGAAGTTGATCCCGTTTCCAACGAAATCCTCAGAGAGGTCCAAATATCCCCTTGCAGATTCTACAAAACGTGTGTTTGGAAACTGCTCCATCATAACGAATGTTCAGCTCCCTGAGTTAAACTCCATCGTCACAAAGAATTTTCTGAGAGTGCTACCGTCTGGTTTTTATATGAAGTTCTTTCCTTCACTACCACAGACCTCAAAGCGGTCCAAATCTCCACTTGCAGATTCTACAAAAAGAGTGTTTGCAAACTGCTCTATCAAAAGGAATGTTCAACTCTGGGAGTTGAATGCAATCATCACAGAGCAGTTTCTGAGAATGCTTCTATGTCGTTTTTAGGAGAAGATATTTCCTTTTCCAACACAGTCCTCCAAGCCCGCTAAATAGCCACTTGCACATTGTAGAAAAAGTGTGTCAAAGCTGCGCTATCAAAGGGAAAGTTCAACTCTGTGAGGTGAATGCAAACATCCCAAAGAAGTTTCTGAGAATGCTTCCGTTTAGCTTTTAGGTGAAGATTATCCCGTTTCCAACGAAACCTTCAAAGAGGTCCAAATATCCCCTTGCGGATCCCACAGAAAGAGTGTTTCAAAACTGCTGTTTCAAAAGGAATCTTCAACTCTGTGAGTTGAATGCAATCATCACAAAGAAGTTTCTGACAATGCTTCTCTCTCGTCTTTCTGTGAAGATAAAGGAAAAGGCTTTCAGGCCTTTTCCACCACAGGCCTGAAAGCGCTCCAAATGTCCACTTGCAGATTCTGCGAAAAGAATATTTCAAAACTGCTCTATGAAAAGCAATGTTAAACTCTGCGGCTCGAACACAAACATCACAAAGCGGTTTCTGAGAATGCTTCAGTTTAGTTTTTCTGTGGAAATATTCCCGTTTCCAAAGAAATCTTCAAAGAGGTCCACGTATCCACTTACAGATTCTACAAAAAGACAGTTTCAAAACTGCTCCATCAAAAGGAGGGTTCAACTGTGTGACTTGAATGCAATCATCACTCAGAAGTTTCTGAGAATGCTTCTCTTTAGTTTTTATGTGAACATATACCCGTTTCGAACGAAGGCCACCCAGTGGTCCAAATATCCACTTGCAGATTCTACAGAAAGAGTGTTTCGAACCTGAACTCTCAAAGGCAGGTTCATCTCTGCGAGTTAAATGCATTCATCATGAAGAACTTTCTCAGAGTGTTTGTGTTTAGTTATGGGAAATTATTCCCGTTTCCAACGAAATCCTCAGAGAGCTCCAAATATCCACCTGCAGATTCTACCAAAAGTGTATTTGGAAACTGCTCCATCAAAAGGCATGTTCAGCTCTGTGAGTGAAACTCCATCATCACAAAGAATATTCTGAGAATGCTTCCGTTTGCCTTTTATATGAAGTTCCTTCCTATACTACCGTAGGCCTCAAAGCAGTCCAAATCTCCGTTTGCAGATTCTACAAAAAGAGTGATTCCAATCTGCTCTATCAATAGGATTGTTCAACTCCATGAGTTGAATGCCATCCTCACAAAGTAGTTTCTGAGAATGCTTCTATCTAGTTTTTATGTGAAGATATTTCCTTTTCCACCACAGGCCTCAAAGCCTTCCAAACGTCCACTTGCAGATTCTCGAAAAAGAGTGTTTCATAGCTGCTCTTTCAAAAGGAAAGTTCAACTCTGGGAGTTGAATACAAACATCACAAAGTAGTTTCCGAGAATGCTTCTGTTTAGTTTTTATGTGAAGATGATCCCGTTTCCAGTGAAATCTTCAAAGAGGTCCACATATCCCCTTGCAGATTCCAAAGAAAGAGGGTTTCAAAACTGCTCCATCAGAAGGATTGTTCAACTCTGTGAGTTGAATGCAGTCATCGCAGAAAACTTTCTGAGAATGCTTCTTTCTAGGTTTGATGTGAAGATATAGACGTTTCAAACGAAGGCTACAAAGTGGTCAAAATATACACTTGCAGATTCTACTACAAGGGTGTTGCAAACCTGAACTATCAAAGGAAGGTTCAACTCTGTGAGTTGAATACAAACATCACAAAGAATGTTCTGAGTTTGCTTCCGTTCAGTTATGGGAAGTTGATCCCGTTCCCAACGAAATCCTCAGAGAGGTCCAAATATCCCCTTGCAGATTCTACAAAACGTGTGTTTGGAAACTGCTCCATCATAACGAATGTTCAGCTCTCTGAGTTAAACTCCATCGTCACAAAGAATTTTCTGAGAGTGCTACCGTCTGGTTTTTATATGAAGTTCTTTCCTTTACTACCACAGGCCTCAAAGCGGTCCAAATCTCCACTTGCAGATTCTACAAAAAGAGTGTTTGCAAACTGCTCTATCAAAAGGAATGTTCAACTCTGGGAGTTGAATGCAATCATCACAGAGCAGTTTCTGAGAATGCTTCTATGTCGTTTTTAGGAGAAGATATTTCCTTTTCCAACACAGTCCTCCAAGCCCGCTAAATATCCACTTGCACATTGTAGAAAAAGTGTGTCGAAGCTGCGCTATCAAAGGGAAAGTTCAACTCTGTGAGGTGAATGCAAACATCCCAAAGAAGTTTCTGAGAATGCTTCCGTTTAGCTTTTAGGTGAAGATTATCCCGTTTCCAACGAAAGCTTCAAAGAGGTCCAAATATCCCCTTGCGGATCCCACAGAAAGAGTGTTTCGAAACTGCTGTTTCAAAAGGAATCTTCAACTCTGTGAGTTGAATGCAATCATCACAAAGAAGTTTCTGACAATGCTTCTCTCTCGTCTTTCTGTGAAGATAAAGGAAAAGGCTTTCAGGTCTTTTCCACCACAGGCCTGAAAGCGCTCCAAATGTCCACTTGCAGATTCTGCCAAAAGAATATTTCAAAACTGCTCTATGAAAAGCAATGTTAAACTCTGCGGCTCGAACACAAACATCACAAAACAGTTTCTGAGAATGCTTCAGTTTAGTTTTTCTGTGGAAATATTCCCGTTTCCAAAGAAATCTTCAAAGAGGTCCACGTATCCACTTACAGATTCTACAAAAAGACAGTTTCAAAACTGCTCCATCAAAAGGAGGGTTCAACTGTGTGACTTGAATGCAATCATCACTCAGAAGTTTCTGAGAATGCTTCTCTTTAGTTTTTACGTGAACATATACCCGTTTCGAACGAAGGCCACCCAGTGGTCCAAATATCCACTTGCAGATTCTACAGAAAGAGTGTTTCGAACCTGAACTCTCAAAGGCAGGTTCATCTCTGCGAGTTAAATGCATTCATCATGAAGAACTTTCTCAGAGTGTTTGTGTTTAGTTATGGGAAATTATTCCCGTTTCCAACGAAATCCTCAGAGAGCTCCAAATATCCACCTGCAGATTCTACCAAAAGTGTATTTGGAAACTGCTCCATCAAAAGGCATGTTCAGCTCTGTGAGTGAAACTCCATCATCACAAAGAATATTCTGAGAATGCTTCCGTTTGCCTTTTATATGAAGTTCCTTCCTGTACTACTGTAGGCCTCAAAGCAGTCCAAATCTCCATTTGCAGATTCTACAAAAAGAGTGATTCCAATCTGCTCTATCAATAGGATTGTTCAACTCCATGAGTTGAATGCCATCCTCACAAAGTAGTTTCTGAGAATGCTTCTATCTGGTTTTTGTGTGAAGATATTTCCTTTTCCACCACAGGCCTCAAAGCCCTCCAAACGTCCACTTGCAGATTCTCGAAAAAGAGTGTTTCATAGCTGCTCTTTCAAAAGGAAAGTTCAACTCTGGGAGTTGAATACAAACATCACAAAGTAGTTTCCGAGAATGCTTCTGTTTAGTTTTTATGTGAAGATGATCCCGTTTCCAGTGAAATCTTCAAAGAGGTCCACATATCCCCTTGCAGATTCCAAAGAAAGAGGGTTTCAAAACTGCTCCATCAGAAGGATTGTTCAACTCTGTGAGTTGAATGCAGTCATCGCAGAAAACTTTCTGAGAATGCTTCTGTCTAGGTTTGATGTGAAGATATAGACGTTTCAAACGAAGGCTACAAAGTGGTCAAAATATACACTTGCAGATTCTACTACAAGGGTGTTGCAAACCTGAACTATCAAAGGAAGGTTCAACTCTGTGAGTTGAATACAAACATCACAAAGAATGTTCTGAGTTTGCTTCCGTTCAGTTATGGGAAGTTGATCCCGTTTCCAACGAAATCCTCAGAGAGGTCCAAATATCCCCTTGCAGATTCTACAAAACGTGTGTTTGGAAACTGCTCCATCATAACGAATGTTCAGCTCCCTGAGTTAAACTCCATCGTCACAAAGAATTTTCTGAGAGTGCTACCGTCTGGTTTTTATATGAAGCTCTTTCCTTCACTACCACAGGCCTGAAAGCGGTCCAAATCTCCACTTGCAGATTCTACAAAAAGAGTGTTTGCAAACTGCTCTATCAAAAGGAATGTTCAACTCTGGGAGTTGAATGCAATCATCACAGAGCAGTTTCTGAGAATGCTTCTATGTCGTTTTTAGGAGAAGATATTTCCTTTTCCAACACAGTCCTCCAAGCCCGCTAAATAGCCACTTGCACATTGTAGAAAAAGTGTGTCAAAGCTGCGCTATCAAAGGGAAAGTTCAACTCTGTGAGGTGAATGCAAACATCCCAAAGAAGTTTCTGAGAATGCTTCCGTTTAGCTTTTAGGTGAAGATTATCCCGTTTCCAACGAAACCTTCAAAGAGGTCCAAATATCCCCTTGCGGATCCCACAGAAAGAGTGTTTCGAAACTGCTGTTTCAAAAGGAATCTTCAACTCTGTGAGTTGAATGCAATCATCACAAAGAAGTTTCTGACAATGCTTCTCTCTCGTCTTTCTGTGAAGATAAAGGAAAAGGCTTTCAGGCCTTTGCCACCACAGGCCTGAAAGCGCTCCAAATGTCCACTTGCAGATTCTGCGAAAAGAATATTTCAAAACTGCTCTATGAAAAGCAATGTTAAACTCTGTGGCTCGAACACAAACATCACAAAGCAGTTTCTGAGAATGCTTCAGTTTAGTTTTTCTGTGGAAATATTCCCGTTTCCAAAGAAATCTTCAAAGAGGTCCACGCATCCACTTACAGATTCTACAAAAAGACAGTTTCAAAACTGCTCCATCAAAAGGAGGGTTCAACTGTGTGACTTGAATGCAATCATCACTCAGAAGTTTCTGAGAATGCTTCTCTTTAGTTTTTACGTGAACATATACCCGTTTCGAACGAAGGCCACCCAGTGGTCCAAATATCCACTTGCAGATTATACAGAAAGAGTGTTTCGAACCTGAACTCTCAAAGGCAGGTTCATCTCTGCGAGTTAAATGCATTCATCATGAAGAACTTTCTCAGAGTGTTTGTGTTTAGTTATGGGAAATTATTCCCGTTTCCAACGAAATCCTCAGAGAGCTCCAAATATCCACCTGCAGATTCTACCAAAAGTGTATTTGGAAACTGCTCCATCAAAAGGCATGTTCAGCTCTGTCAGTGAAACTCCATCATCACAAAGAATATTCTGAGAATGCTTCCGTTTGCCTTTTATATGAAGTTCCTTCCTGTACTACCGTAGGCCTCAAAGCAGTCCAAATCTCCATTTGCAGATTCTACAAAAAGAGTGATTCCAATCTGCTCTATCAATAGGATTGTTCAACTCCATGAGTTGAATGCCATCCTCACAAAGTAGTTTCTGAGAATGCTTCTATCTAGTTTTTATGTGAAGGTATTTCCTTTTCCACCACAGGCCTCCAAGCCCTCCAAACGTCCACTTGCAGATTCTCGAAAAAGAGTGTTTCATAGCTGCTCTTTCAAAAGGAAAGTTCAACTCTGGGAGTTGAATACAAACATCACAAAGTAGTTTCCGAGAATGCTTCTGTTTAGTTTTTATGTGAAGATGATCCCGTTTCCAGTGAAATCTTCAAAGAGGTCCACATATCCCCTTGCAGATTCCAAAGAAAGAGGGTTTCAAAACTGCTCCATCAGAAGGATTGTTCAACTCTGTGAGTTGAATGCAGTCATCGCAGAAAACTTTCTGAGAATGCTTCTGTCTAGGTTTGATGTGAAGATATAGACGTTTCAAACGAAGGCTACAAAGTGGTCAAAATATACACTTGCAGATTCTACTACAAGGGTGTTGCAAACGTGAACTATCAAAGGAAGGTTCAACTCTGTGAATTGAATACAAACATCACAAAGAATGTTCTGAGTTTGCTTCCGTTCAGTTATGGGAAGTTGATCCCGTTTCCAACGAAATCCTCAGAGAGGTCCAAATATCCCCTTGCAGATTCTACAAAACGTGTGTTTGGAAACTGCTCCATCATAACGAATGTTCAGCTCCCTGAGTTAAACTCCATCGTCACAAAGAATTTTCTGAGAGTGCTACCGTCTGGTTTTTATATGAAGTTCTTTCCTTCACTACCACAGGCCTCAAAGCGGTCCAAATCTCCACTTGCAGATTCTACAAAAAGAGTGTTTGCAAACTGCTCTATCAAAAGGAATGTTCAACTCTGGGAGTTGAATGCAATCATCACAGAGCAGTTTCTGAGAATGCTTCTATGTCGTTTTTAGGAGAAGATATTTCCTTTTCCAACACAGTCCTCCAAGCCCGCTAAATAGCCACTTGCACATTGTAGAAAAAGTGTGTCAAAGCTGCGCTATCAAAGGGAAAGTTCAACTCTGTGAGGTGAATGCAAACATCCCAAAGAAGTTTCTGAGAATGCTTCCGTTTAGCTTTTAGGTGAAGATTATCCCGTTTCCAACGAAACCTTCAAAGAGGTCCAAATATCCCCTTGCGGATCCCACAGAAAGAGTGTTTCGAAACTGCTGTTTCAAAAGGAATCTTCAACTCTGTGAGTTGAATGCAATCATCACAAAGAAGTTTCTGACAATGCTTCTCTCTCGTCTTTCTGTGAAGATAAAGGAAAAGGCTTTCAGGCCTTTTCCACCACAGGCCTGAAAGCGCTCCAAATGTCCACTTGCAGATTCTGCGAAAAGAATATTTCAAAACTGCTCTATGAAAAGCAATGTTAAACTCTGTGGCTCGAACACAAACATCACAAAGCGGTTTCTGAGAATGCTTCAGTTTAGTTTTTCTGTGGAAATATTCCCGTTTCCAAAGAAATCTTCAAAGAGGTCCACGTATCCACTTACAGATTCTACAAAAAGACAGTTTCAAAACTGCTCCATCAAAAGGAGGGTTCAACTGTGTGACTTGAATGCAATCATCACTCAGAAGTTTCTGAGAATGCTTCTCTTTAGTTTTTACGTGAACATATACCCGTTTCGAACGAAGGCCAGCCAGTGGTCCAAATATCCACTTGCAGATTCTACAGAAAGAGTGTTTCGAACATGAACTCTCAAAGGCAGGTTCATCTCTGCGAGTTAAATGCATTCATCATGAAGAACTTTCTCAGAGTGTTTGTGTTTAGTTATGGGAAATTATTCCCGTTTCCAACGAAATCCTCAGAGAGGTCCAAATATCCACCTGCAGATTCTACCAAAAGTGTATTTGGAAACTGCTCCATCAAAAGGCATGTTCAGCTCTGTGAGTGAAACTCCATCATCACAAAGAATATTCTGAGAATGCTTCCGTTTGCCTTTTATATGAAGTTCCTTCGTATACGACCGTAGGCCTCAAAGCAGTCCAAATCTCCATTTGCAGATTCTACAAAAAGAGTGATTCCAATCTGCTCTATCAATAGGATTGTTCAACTCCATGAGTTGAATGCCATCCTCACAAAGTAGTTTCTGAGAATGCTTCTATCTAGTTTTTATGTGAAGATATTTCCTTTTCCACCACAGGCCTCAAAGCCCTCCAAACGTCCACTTGCAGATTCTCGAAAAAGAGTGTTTCATAGCTGCTCTTTCAAAAGGAAAGTTCAACTCTGGGAGTTGAATACAAACATCACAAAGTAGTTTCCGAGAATGCTTCTGTTTAGTTTTTATGTGAAGATGATCCCGTTTCCAGTGAAATCTTCAAAGAGGTCCACATATCCCCTTGCAGATTCCAAAGAAAGAGGGTTTCAAAACTGCTCCATCAGAAGGATTGTTCAACTCTGTGAGTTGAATGCAGTCATCGCAGAAAACTTTCTGAGAATGCTTCTGTCTAGGTTTGATATGAAGATATAGACGTTTCAAACGAAGGCTACAAAGTGGTCAAAATATACACTTGCAGATTCTACTACAAGGGTGTTGCAAACCTGAACTATCAAAGGAAGGTTCAACTCTGTGAGTTGAATACAAACATCACAAAGAATGTTCTGAGTTTGCTTCCGTTCAGTTATGGGAAGTTGATCCCGTTTCCAACGAAATCCTCAGAGAGGTCCAAATATCCCCTTGCAGATTCTACAAAACGTGTGTTTGGAAACTGCTCCATCATAACGAATGTTCAGCTCCCTGAGTTAAACTCCATCGTCACAAAGAATTTTCTGAGAGTGCTACCGTCTGGTTTTTATATGAAGTTCTTTCCTTCACTACCACAGGCCTCAAAGCGGTCCAAATCTCCACTTGCAGATTCTACAAAAAGAGTGTTTGCAAACTGCTCTATCAAAAGGAATGTTCAACTCTGGGAGTTGAATGCAATCATCACAGAGCAGTTTCTGAGAATGCTTCTATGTCGTTTTTAGGAGAAGATATTTCCTTTTCCAACACAGTCCTCCAAGCCCGCTAAATAGCCACTTGCACATTGTAGAAAAAGTGTGTCAAAGCTGCGCTATCAAAGGGAAAGTTCAACTCTGTGAGGTGAATGCAAACATCCCAAAGAAGTTTCTGAGAATGCTTCCGTTTAGCTTTTAGGTGAAGATTATCCCGTTTCCAACGAAACCTTCAAAGAGGTCCAAATATCCCCTTGCGGATCCCACAGAAAGAGTGTATCGAAACTGCTGTTTCAAAAGGAATCTTCAACTCTGTGAGTTGAATGCAATCATCACAAAGAAGTTTCTGACAATGCTTCTCTCTCGTCTTTCTGTGAAGATAAAGGAAAAGGCTTTCAGGCCTTTTCCACCACAGGCCTGAAAGCGCTCCAAATGTCCACTTGCAGATTCTGCCAAAAGAATATTTCAAAACTGCTCTATGAAAAGCAATGTTAAACTCTGTGGCTCGAACACAAACATCACAAAGCAGTTTCTGAGAATGCTTCAGTTTAGTTTTTCTGTGGAAATATTCCCGTTTCCAAAGAAATCTTCAAAGAGGTCCACGTATCCACTTACAGATTCTACAAAAAGACAGTTTCAAAACTGCTCCATCAAAAGGAGGGTTCAACTGTGTGACTTGAATGCAATCATCACTCAGAAGTTTCTGAGAATGCTTCTCTTTAGTTTTTACGTGAACATATACCCGTTTCGAACGAAGGCCACCCAGTGGTCCAAATATCCACTTGCAGATTCTACAGAAAGAGTGTTTCGAACCTGAACTCTCAAAGGCAGGTTCATCTCTGCGAGTTAAATGCATTCATCATGAAGAACTTTCTCAGAGTGTTTGTGTTTAGTTATGGGAAATTATTCCCGTTTCCAACGAAATCCTCAGAGAGCTCCAAATATCCACCTGCAGATTCTACCAAAAGTGTATTTGGAAACTGCTCCATCAAAAGGCATGTTCAGCTCTGTGAGTGAAACTCCATCATCACAAAGAATATTCTGAGAATGCTTCCGTTTGCCTTTTATATGAAGTTCCTTCCTATACTACCGTAGGCCTCAAAGCAGTCCAAATCTCCATTTGCAGATTCTACAAAAAGAGTGATTCCAATCTGCTCTATCAATAGGATTGTTCAACTCCATGAGTTGAATGCCATCCTCACAAAGTCGTTTCTGAGAATGCTTCTATCTAGTTTTTATGTGAAGATATTTCCTTTTCCACCACAGGCCTCAAAGCCCTCCAAACGTCCACTTGCAGATTCTCGAAAAGGAGTGTTTCATAGCTGCTCTTTCAAAAGGAAAGTTCAACTCTGGGAGTTGAATACAAACATCACAAAGTAGTTTCCGAGAATGCTTCTGTTTAGTTTTTATGTGAAGATGATCCCGTTTCCAGTGAAATCTTCAAAGAGGTCCACATATCCCCTTGCAGATTCCAAAGAAAGAGGGTTTCAAAACTGCTCCATCAGAAGGATTGTTCAACTCTGTGAGTTGAATGCAGTCATCGCAGAAAACTTTCTGAGAATGCTTCTGTCTAGGTTTGATGTGAAGATATAGACGTTTCAAACGAAGGCTACAAAGTGGTCAAAATATACACTTGCAGATTCTACTACAAGGGTGTTGCAAACCTGAACTATCAAAGGAAGGTTCAACTCTGTGAGTTGAATACAAACATCACAAAGAATGTTCTGAGTTTGCTTCCGTTCAGTTATGGGAAGTTGATCCCGTTTCCAACGAAATCCTCAGAGAGGTCCAAATATCCCCTCGCAGATTCTACAAAACGTGTGTTTGGAAACTGCTCCATCATAACGAATGTTCAGCTCCCTGAGTTAAACTCCATCGTCACAAAGAATTTTCTGAGAGTGCTACCGTCTGGTTTTTATATGAAGTTCTTTCCTTCACTACCACAGGCCTCAAAGCGGTCCAAATCTCCACTTGCAGATTCTACAAAAAGAGTGTTTGCAAACTGCTCTATCAAAAGGAATGTTCAACTCTGGGAGTTGAATGCAATCATCACAGAGCAGTTTCTGAGAATGCTTCTATGTCGTTTTTAGGAGAAGATATTTCCTTTTCCAACACAGTCCTCCAAGCCCGCTAAATAGCCACTTGCACATTGTAGAAAAAGTGTGTCAAAGCTGCGCTATCAAAGGGAAAGTTCAACTCTGTGAGGTGAATGCAAACATCCCAAAGAAGTTTCTGAGAATGCTTCCGTTTAGCTTTTAGGTGAAGATTATCCCGTTTCCAACGAAACCTTCAAAGAGGTCCAAATATCCCCTTGCGGATCCCACAGAAAGAGTGTTTCGAAACTGCTGTTTCAAAAGGAATCTTCAACTCTGTGAGTTGAATGCAATCATCACAAAGAAGTTTCTGACAATGCTTCTCTCTCGTCTTTCTGTGAAGATAAAGGAAAAGGCTTTCAGGCCTTTTCCACCACAGGCCTGAAAGCGCTCCAAATGTCCACTTGCAGATTCTGCGAAAAGAATATTTCAAAACTGCTCTATGAAAAGCAATGTTAAACTCTGTGGCTCGAACACAAACATCACAAAGCGGTTTCTGAGAATGCTTCAGTTTAGTTTTTCTGTGGAAATATTCCCGTTTCCAAAGAAATCTTCAAAGAGGTCCACGTATCCACTTACAGATTCTACAAAAAGACAGTTTCAAAACTGCTCCATCAAAAGGAGGGTTCAACTGTGTGACTTGAATGCAATCATCACTCAGAAGTTTCTGAGAATGCTTCTCTTTAGTTTTTACGTGAACATATACCCGTTTCGAACGAAGGCCAGCCAGTGGTCCAAATATCCACTTGCAGATTCTACAGAAAGAGTGTTTCGAACCTGAACTCTCAAAGGCAGGTTCATCTCTGCGAGTTAAATGCATTCATCATGAAGAACTTTCTCAGAGTGTTTGTGTTTAGTTATGGGAAATTATTCCCGTTTCCAACGAAATCCTCAGAGAGCTCCAAATATCCACCTGCAGATTCTACCAAAAGTGTATTTGGAAACTGCTCCATCAAAAGGCATGTTCAGCTCTGTGAGTGAAACTCCATCATCACAAAGAATATTCTGAGAATGCTTCCGTTTGCCTTTTATATGAAGTTCCTTCCTGTACTACCGTAGGCCTCAAAACAGTCCAAATCTCCATTTGCCGATTCTACAAAAAGCGTGATTCCAATGTGCTCTATCATTAGGATTGTTCAACTCCATGAGTTGAATGCCGTCCTCACAAAGTCGTTTCTGAGAATGCTTCTATCTAGTTTTTATGTGAAGATATTTCCTTTTCCACCACAGGCCTCAAAGCCCTCCAAACGTCCACTTGCAGATTCTCGAAAAAGAGTGTTTCATAGCTGCTCTTTCAAAAGGAAAGTTCAACTCTGGGAGTTGAATACAAACATCACAAAGTAGTTTCCGAGAATGCTTCTGTTTAGTTTTTATGTGAAGATGATCCCGTTTCCAGTGAAATCTTCAAAGAGGTCCACATATCCCCTTGCAGATTCCAAAGAAAGAGGGTTTCAAAACTGCTCCATCAGAAGGATTGTTCAACTCTGTGAGTTGAATGCAGTCATCGCAGAAAACTTTCTGAGAATGCTTCTGTCTAGGTTTGATGTGAAGATATAGACGTTTCAAACGAAGGCTACAAAGTGGTCAAAATATACACTTGCAGATTCTACTACAAGGGTGTTGCAAACCTGAACTATCAAAGGAAGGTTCAACTCTGTGAGTTGAATACAAACATCACAAAGAATGTTCTGAGTTTGCTTCCGTTCAGTTATGGGAAGTTGATCCCGTTTCCAACGAAATCCTCAGAGAGGTCCAAATATCCCCTTGCAGATTCTACAAAACGTGTGTTTGGAAACTGCTCCATCATAACGAATGTTCAGCTCCCTGAGTTAAACTCCATCGTCACAAAGAATTTTCTGAGAGTGCTACCGTCTGGTTTTTATATGAAGTTCTTTCCTTCACTACCACAGGCCTCAAAGCGGTCCAAATCTCCACTTGCAGATTCTACAAAAAGAGTGTTTGCAAACTGCTTTGTCAAAAGGAATGTTTAACTCTGGGAGTTGAATGCAATCATCACAGAGCAGTTTCTGAGAATGCTTCTATGTCGTTTTTAGGAGAAGATATTTCCTTTTCCAACACAGTCCTCCAAGCCCGCTAAATAGCCACTTGCACATTGTAGAAAAAGTGTGTCAAAGCTGCGCTATCAAAGGGAAAGTTCAGCTCTGTGAGGTGAATGCAAACATCCCAAAGAAGTTTCTGAGAATGCTTCCGTTTAGCTTTTAGGTGAAGATTATCCCGTTTCCAACGAAACCTTCAAAGAGGTCCAAATATCCCCTTGCGGATCCCACAGAAAGAGTGTTTCGAAACTGCTGTTTCAAAAGGAATCTTCAACTCTGTGAGTTGAATGCAATCATCACAAAGAAGTTTCTGACAATGCTTCTCTCTCGTCTTTCTGTGAAGATAAAGGAAAAGGCTTTCAGGCCTTTTCCACCACAGGCCTGAAAGCGCTCCAAATGTCCACTTGCAGATTCTGCGAAAAGAATATTTCAAAACTGCTCTATGAAAAGCAATGTTAAACTCTGTGGCTCGAACACAAACATCACAAAGCGGTTTCTGAGAATGCTTCAGTTTAGTTTTTCTGTGGAAATATTCCCGTTTCCAAAGAAATCTTCAAAGAGGTCCACGTATCCACTTACAGATTCTACAAAAAGACAGTTTCAAAACTGCTCCATCAAAAGGAGGGTTCAACTGTGTGACTTGAATGCAATCATCACTCAGAAGTTTCTGAGAATGCTTCTCTTTAGTTTTTACGTGAACATATACCCGTTTCGAACGAAGGCCAGCCAGTGGTCCAAATATCCACTTGCAGATTCTACAGAAAGAGTGTTTCGAACCTGAACTCTCAAAGGCAGGTTCATCTCTGCGAGTTAAATGCATTCATCATGAAGAACTTTCTCAGAGTGTTTGTGTTTAGTTATGGGAAATTATTCCCGTTTCCAACGAAATCCTCAGAGAGCTCCAAATATCCACCTGCAGATTCTACCAAAAGTGTATTTGGAAACTGCTCCATCAAAAGGCATGTTCAGCTCTGTGAGTGAAACTCCATCATCACAAAGAATATTCTGAGAATGCTTCCGTTTGCCTTTTATATGAAGTTCCTTCCTGTACTACTGTAGGCCTCAAAGCAGTCCAAATCTCCATTTGCAGATTCTACAAAAAGAGTGATTCCAATCTGCTCTATCAATAGGATTGTTCAACTCCATGAGTTGAATGCCATCCTCACAAAGTAGTTTCTGAGAATGCTTCTATCTAGTTTTTATGTGAAGATATTTCCTTTTCCACCACAGGCCTCAAAGCCCTCCAAACGTCCACTTGCAGATTCTCGAAAAAGAGTGTTTCATAGCTGCTCTTTCAAAAGGAAAGTTCAACTCTGGGAGTTGAATACAAACATCACAAAGTAGTTTCCGAGAATGCTTCTGTTTAGTTTTTATGTGAAGTTGATCCCGTTTCCAGTGAAATCTTCAAAGAGGTCCACATATCCCCTTGCAGATTCCAAAGAAAGAGGGTTTCAAAACTGCTCCATCAGAAGGATTGTTCAACTCTGTGAGTTGAATGCAGTCATCGCAGAAAACTTTCTGAGAATGCTTCTGTCTAGGTTTGATGTGAAGATATAGACGTTTCAAACGAAGGCTACAAAGTGGTCAAAATATACACTTGCAGATTCTACTACAAGGGTGTTGCAAACCTGAACTATCAAAGGAAGGTTCAACTCTGTGAGTTGAATACAAACATCACAAAGAATGTTCTGAGTTTGCTTCCGTTCAGTTATGGGAAGTTGATCCCGTTTCCAACGAAATCCTCAGAGAGGTCCAAATATCCCCTTGCAGATTCTACAAAACGTGTGTTTGGAAACTGCTCCATCATAACGAATGTTCAGCTCCCTGAGTTAAACTCCATCGTCACAAAGAATTTTCTGAGAGTGCTACCGTCTGGTTTTTATATGAAGTTCTTTCCTTCACTACCACTGGCCTCAAAGCGGTCCAAATCTCCACTTGCAGATTCTACAAAAAGAGTGTTTGCAAACTGCTCTATCAAAAGGAATGTTCAACTCTGGGAGTTGAATGCAATCATCACAGAGCAGTTTCTGAGAATGCTTCTATGTCGTTTTTAGGAGAAGATACTTCCTTTTCCAACACAGTCCTCCAAGCCCGCTAAATAGCCACTTGCACATTGTAGAAAAAGTGTGTCAAAGCTGCGCTATCAAAGGGAAAGTTCAACTCTGTGAGGTGAATGCAAACATCCCAAAGAAGTTTCTGAGAATGCTTCCGTTTAGCTTTTAGGTGAAGATTATCCCGTTTCCAACGAAACCTTCAAAGAGGTCCAAATATCCCCTTGCGGATCCCACAGAAAGAGTGTTTCGAAACTGCTGTTTCAAAAGGAATCTTCAACTCTGTGAGTTGAATGCAATCATCACAAAGAAGTTTCTGACAATGCTTCTCTCTCGTCTTTCTGTGAAGATAAAGGAAAAGGCTTTCAGGCCTTTGCCACCACAGGCCTGAAAGCGGTCCAAATGTCCACTTGCAGATTCTGCCAAAAGAATATTTCAAAACTGCTCTATGAAAAGCAATGTTAAACTCTGTGGCTCGAACACAAACATCACAAAGCGGTTTCTGAGAATGCTTCAGTTTAGTTTTTCTGTGGAAATATTCCCGTTTCCAAAGAAATCTTCAAAGAGGTCCACCATATCCACTTACAGATTCTACAAAAAGACAGTTTCAAAACTGCTCCATCAAAAGGAGGGTTCAACCGTGTGACTTGAATGCAATCATCACTCAGAAGTTTCTGAGAATGCTTCTCTTTAGTTTTTACGTGAACATATACCCGTTTCGAACGAAGGCCACCCAGTGGTCCAAATATCCACTTGCAGATTCTACAGAAAGAGTGTTTCAAACCTAAACTCTGAAAGGAAGGTTCATCTCTGTGAGTTAAATGCATTCATCATGAAGAACTTTCTCAGAGTGTTTGTGTTTAGTTATGGGAAATTATTCCCGTTTCCAACGAGATCCTCAGAGAGGTCCAAATATCCACCTGCAGATTCTACCAAAAGTGTATTTGGAAACTGCTCCATCAAAGGGCATGTTCAGCTCTGTGAGTTAAACTCCATCATCACAAAGAATACTCTGAGAATGCTTCCGTTTGCTTTTTATATGAAGTTCCTTCCTATACTACCGTAGGCCTCAAAGCAGTCCAAATCTCCATTTGCAGATTCTACAAAAAGAGTGATTCCAATCTGCTCTATCAATAGGATTGTTCAACTCCATGAGTTGAATGCCATCCTCACAAAGTAGTTTCTGAGAATGCTTCTATCTAGTTTTCATGTGAAGATATTTCCTTTTCCACCACAGGCCTCAAAGCCCTCCAAACGTCCACTTGCAGATTCTCGAAAAAGAGTGTTTCATAGCTGCTCTTTCAAAAGGAAAGTTCAACTCTGGGAGTTGAATACAGACATCACAAAGTAGTTTCCGAGAATGCTTCTGTTTAGTTTTTATGTGAAGATGATCCCGTTTCCAGTGAAATCTTCAAAGAGGTCCACTTATCCCCTTGCAGATTCCAAAGAAAGAGGGTTTCAAAACTGCTCCATCAAAAGGATTGTTCAACTCTGTGAGTTGAATGCAGTCATCGCAGAAATCTTTCTGAGAATGCTTCTGTCTAGGTTTGATGTGAAGATATAGACGTTTCAAACGAAGGCTACAAACTGGTCAAAATATACACTTGCAGATTCTACTACAAGGGTGTTGCAAACCTGAACTATCAAAGGAAGGTTCAACACTGTGAGTTGAATACAAACATCACAAAGAATGTTCTGAGTTTGCTTCCGTTCAGTTATGGGAAGTTGATGCCGTTTCCAACGAAATCCTCAGAGAGGTCCAAATATCCCCTTGCAGATTCTACAAAACGTGTGTTTGGAAACTGCTCCATCATAACGAATGTTCAGCTCCCTGAGTTAAACTCAATCGTCACAAAGAATTTTCTGAGAGTGCTACCGTCTAGTTTTTATATGAAGTTCTTTCCTTTACTACCACAGGCCTCAAAGCGGTCCAAATCTCCACTTGCAGATTCTACAAAAAGAGTGTTTGCAAACTGCTCTATCAAAAGGAGTGTTCAACTCTGGGAGTTGAATGCAATCATCACAGAGCAGTTTCTGAGAATGCTTCTATGTCGTTTTTAGGAGAAGATATTTCCTTTTCCAACACAGTCCTCCAAGCCCGCTAAATATCCACTTGCACATTGTAGAAAAAGTGTGTCGAAGCTGCGCTATCAAAGGGAAAGTTCAACTCTGTGAGGTGAATGCAAACATCCCAAAGAAGTTTCTGAGAATGCTTCCGTTTAGCTTTTAGGTGAAGATTATCCCGTTTCCAACGAAATCTTCAAAGAGGTCCAAATATCCCCTTGCGGATCCCACAGAAAGAGTGTTTCGAAACTGCTGTTTCAAAAGGAATCTTCAACTCTGTGAGTTGAATGCAATCATCACAAAGAAGTTTCTGACAATGCTTCTCTCTCGTCTTTCTGTGAAGATAAAGGAAAAGGCTTTCAGGCCTTTTCCACCACAGGCCTGAAAGCGCTCCAAATGTCCACTTGCAGATTCTGCCAAAAGAATATTTCAAAACTGCTCTATGAAAAGCAATGTTAAACTCTGTGGCTCGAACAGAAACATCACAAAGCCGTTTCTGAGAATGCTTCAGTTTAGTTTTTCTGTGGAAATATTCCCGTTTCCAAAGAAATCTTCAAAGAGGTCCACGTATCCACTTACAGATTCTACAAAAAGACAGTTTCAAAACTGCTCAATCAAAAGGGAGGGTTCAACCCGTGTGACTTGAATGCAATCATCACTCAGAAGTTTCTGAGAATGCTTCTCTTTAGTTTTTACGTGAACATATACCCGTTTCGAACGAAGGCCAGCCAGTGGTCCAAATATCCACTTGCAGATTCTACAGAAAGAGAGTTTCGAACATTAACTCTCAAAGGCAGGTTCATCTCTGCGAGTTAAATGCATTCATCATGAAGAACTTTCTCAGAGTGTTTGTGTTTAGTTATGGGAAATTATTCCCGTTTCCAACGAAATCCTCAGAGAGCTCCAAATATCCACCTGCAGATTCTACCAAAAGTGTATTTGGAAACTGCTCCATCAAAAGGCATGTTCAGCTCTGTGAGTGAAACTCCATCATCACAAAGAATATTCTGAGAATGCTTCCGTTTGCCTTTTATATGAAGTTCCTTCCTATACGACCGTAGGCCTCAAAGCAGTCCAAATCTCCATTTGCAGATTCTACAAAAAGAGTGATTCCAATCTGCTCTATCAATAGGATTGTTCAACTCCATGAGTTGAATGCCATCCTCACAAAGTAGTTTCTGAGAATGCTTCTATCTAGTTTTTATGTGAAGATATTTCCTTTTCCACCACAGGCCTCAAAGCCCTCCAAACGTCCACTTGCAGATTCTAGAAAAAGAGTGTTTCATAGCTGCTCTTTCAAAAGGAAAGTTCAACTCTGGGAGTTGAATACAAACATCACAAAGAATTTTCTGAGTTTGCTTCCGTTCAGTTATGGGAAGTTGATCCCGTTTCCAACGAAATCCTCAGAGAGGTCCAAATATCCCCTTGCAGATTCTACAAAACGTGTGTTTCGAAACTGCTCCATCATAACGAATGTTCAGCTCCCTGAGTTAAACTCCATCGTCACAAAGAATTTTCTGAGAGTGCTACCGTCTGGTTTTTATATGAAGCTCTTTCCTTTACTACCCCAGTCCTCAAAGCGGTCCAAATCTCCACTTGCAGATTCTACAAAAAGAGTGTTTGCAAACTGCTCTATCAAAAGGAATGTTCAACTCTGGGAGTTGAATGCAATCATCACAGAGCAGTTTCTCAGAATGCTTCTATGTCGTTTTTAGGAGAAGATATTTCCTTTTCCAACACAGTCCTCCAAGCCCGCTAAATAGCCACTTGCACATTGTAGAAAAAGTGTGTCAAAGCTGCGCTATCAAAGGGAAAGTTCAACTCTGAGAGGTGAATGCAAACATCCCAAAGAAGTTTCTGAGAGTGCTTCCGTTTAGCTTTTAGGTGAAGATTATCCCGTTTCCAACGAAACCTTCAAAGAGGTCCAAATATCCCCTTGCGGATCCCACAGAAAGAGTGTTTCGAAACTGCTGTTTCAAAAGGAATCTTCAACTCTGTGAGTTGAATGCAATCATCACAAAGAAGTTTCTGACAATGCTTCTCTCTCGTCTTTCTGTGAAGATAAAGGAAAAGGCTTTCAGGCCTTTTCCACCACAGGCCTGAAAGCGCTCCAAATGTCCACTTGCAGATTCTGCGAAAAGAATATTTCAAAACTGCTCTATGAAAAGCAATGTTAAACTCTGTGGCTCGAACACAAACATCACAAAGCAGTTTCTGAGAATGCTTCAGTTTAGTTTTTCTGTGGAAATATTCCCGTTTCCAAAGAAATCTTCAAAGAGGTCCACGTATCCACTTACAGATTCTACAAAAAGACAGTTTCAAAACTGCTCCATCAAAAGGAGGGTTCAACTGTGTGACTTGAATGCAATCATCACTCAGAAGTTTCTGAGAATGCTTCTCTTTAGTTTTTACGTGAACATATACCCGTTTCGAACGAAGGCCACCCAGTGGTCCAAATATCCACTTGCAGATTCTACAGAAAGAGTGTTTCGAACCTGAACTCCCAAAGGCAGGTTCATCTCTGCGAGTTAAATGCATTCATCATGAAGAACTTTCTCAGAGTGTTTGTGTTTAGTTATGGGAAATTATTCCCGTTTCCAAAGAAATCCTCAGAGAGCTCCAAATATCCACCTGCAGATTCTACCAAAAGTGTATTTGGAAACTGCTCCATCAAAAGGCATGTTCAGCTCTGTGAGTGAAACTCCATCATCACAAAGAATATTCTGAGAATGCTTCCGTTTGCCTTTTATCTGAAGTTCCTTCCTATACGACCGTAGGCCTCAAAGCAGTCCAAATCTCCATTTGCAGATTCTACAAAAAGAGTGATTCCAATCTGCTCTATCAATAGGATTGTTCAACTCCATGAGTTGAATGCCATCCTCACAAAGTCGTTTCTGAGAATGCTTCTATCTAGTTTTTATGTGAAGATATTTCCTTTTCCACCACAGGCCTCAAAGCCCTCCAAACGTCCACTTGCAGATTCTCGAAAAAGAGTGTTTCATAGCTGCTCTTTCAAAAGGAAAGTTCAACTCTGGGAGTTGAATACAAACATCACAAAGTAGTTTCCGAGAATGCTTCTGTTTAGTTTTTATGTGAAGATGATCCCGTTTCCAGTGAAATCTTCAAAGAGGTCCACATATCCCCTTGCAGATTCCAAAGAAAGAGGGTTTCAAAACTGCTCCATCAGAAGGATTGTTCAACTCTGTGAGTTGAATGCAGTCATCGCAGAAAACTTTCTGAGAATGCTTCTGTCTAGGTTTGATGTGAAGATATAGACGTTTCAAACGAAGGCTACAAAGTGGTCAAAATATACACTTGCAGATTCTACTACAAGGGTGTTGCAAACCTGAACTATCAAAGGAAGGTTCAACTCTGTGAGTTGAATACAAACATCACAAAGAATGTTCTGAGTTTGCTTCCGTTCAGTTATGGGAAGTTGATCCCGTTTCCAACGAAATCCTCAGAGAGGTCCAAATATCCCCTTGCAGATTCTACAAAACGTGTGTTTGGAAACTGCTCCATCATAACGAATGTTCAGCTCCCTGAGTTAAACTCCATCGTCACAAAGAATTTTCTGAGAGTGCTACCGTCTGGTTTTTATATGAAGTTCTTTCCTTCACTACCACAGACCTCAAAGCGGTCCAAATCTCCACTTGCAGATTCTACAAAAAGAGTGTTTGCAAACTGCTCTATCAAAAGGAATGTTCAACTCTGGGAGTTGAATGCAATCATCACAGAGCAGTTTCTGAGAATGCTTCTATGTCGTTTTTAGGAGAAGATATTTCCTTTTCCAACACAGTCCTCCAAGCCCGCTAAATAGCCACTTGCACATTGTAGAAAAAGTGTGTCAAAGCTGCGCTATCAAAGGGAAAGTTCAACTCTGTGAGGTGAATGCAAACATCCCAAAGAAGTTTCTGAGAATGCTTCCGTTTAGCTTTTAGGTGAAGATTATCCCGTTTCCAACGAAAGCTTCAAAGAGGTCCAAATATCCCCTTGCGGATCCCACAGAAAGAGTGTTTCGAAACTGCTGTTTCAAAAGGAATCTTCAACTCTGTGAGTTGAATGCAATCATCACAAAGAAGTTTCTGACAATGCTTCTCTCTCGTCTTTCTGTGAAGATAAAGGAAAAGGCTTTCAGGCCTTTTCCACCACAGGCCTGAAAGCGCTCCAAATGTCCACTTGCAGATTCTGCCAAAAGAATATTTCAAAACTGCTCTATGAAAAGCAATGTTAAACTCTGTGGCTCGAACACAAACATCACAAAGCGGTTTCTGAGAATACTTCAGTTTAGTTTTTCTGTGGAAATATTCCCGTTTCCAAAGAAATCTTCAAAGAGGTCCACGTATCCACTTACAGATTCTACAAAAAGACAGTTTCAAAACTGCTCCATCAAAAGGAGGGTTCAACTGTGTGACTTGAATGCAATCATCACTCAGAAGTTTCTGAGAATGCTTCTCTTTAGTTTTTACGTGAACATATACCCGTTTCGAACGAAGGCCAGCCAGTGGTCCAAATATCCACTTGCAGATTCTACAGAAAGAGTGTTTCGAACCTGAACTCTCAAAGGCAGGTTCATCTCTGCGAGTTAAATGCATTCATCATGAAGAACTTTCTCAGAGTGTTTGTGTTTAGTTATGGGAAATTATTCCCGTTTCCAACGAAATCCTCGGAGAGCTCCAAATATCCACCTGCAGATTCTACCAAAAGTGTATTTGGAAACTGCTCCATCAAAAGGCATGTTCAGCTCTGTGAGTGAAACTCCATCATCACAAAGAATATTCTGAGAATGCTTCCGTTTGCCTTTTATATGAAGTTCCTTCCTATACGACCGTAGGCCTCAAAGCAGTCCAAATCTCCATTTGCAGATTCTACAAAAAGAGTGATTCCAATCTGCTCTATCAATAGGATTGTTCAACTCCATGAGTTGAATGCCATCCTCACAAAGTCGTTTCTGAGAATGCTTCTATCTAGTTTTTATGTGAAGATATTTCCTTTTCCACCACAGGCCTCAAAGCCCTCCAAACGTCCACTTGCAGTTTCTCGAAAAAGAGTGTTTCATAGCTGCTCTTTCAAAAGGAAATTTCAACTCTGGGAGTTGAATACAAACATCACAAAGTAGTTTCCGAGAATGCTTCTGTTTAGTTTTTATGTGAAGATGATCCCGTTTCCAGTGAAATCTTCAAAGAGGTCCACATATCCCCTTGCAGATTCCAAAGAAAGAGGGTTTCAAAACTGCTCCATCAGAAGGATTGTTCAACTCTGTGAGTTGAATGCAGTCATCGCAGAAAACTTTCTGAGAATGCTTCTGTCTAGGTTTGATGTGAAGATATAGACGTTTCAAACGAAGGCTACAAAGTGGTCAAAATATACACTTGCAGATTCTACTACAAGGGTGTTGCAAACCTGAACTATCAAAGGAAGGTTCAACTCTGTGAGTTGAATACAAACATCACAAAGAATGTTCTGAGTTTGCTTCCGTTCAGTTATGGGAAGTTGATCCCGTTTCCAACGAAATCCTCAGAGAGGTCCAAATATCCCCTCGCAGATTCTACAAAACGTGTGTTTGGAAACTGCTCCATCATAACGAATGTTCAGCTCCCTGAGTTAAACTCCATCGTCACAAAGAATTTTCTGAGAGTGCTACCGTCTGGTTTTTATATGAAGCTCTTTCCTTCACTACCACAGGCCTCAAAGCGGTCCAAATCTCCACTTGCAGATTCTACAAAAAGAGTGTTTGCAAACTGCTCTATCAAAAGGAATGTTCAACTCTGGGAGTTGAATGCAATCATCACAGAGCAGTTTCTGAGAATGCTTCTATGTCGTTTTTAGGAGAAGATATTTCCTTTTCCAACACAGTCCTCCAAGCCCGCTAAATAGCCACTTGCACATTGTAGAAAAAGTGTGTCAAAGCTGCGCTATCAAAGGGAAAGTTCAACTCTGTGAGGTGAATGCAAACATCCCAAAGAAGTTTCTGAGAATGCTTCCGTTTAGCTTTTAGGTGAAGATTATCCCGTTTCCAACGAAACCTTCAAAGAGGTCCAAATATCCCCTTGCGGATCCCACAGAAAGAGTGTTTCGAAACTGCTGTTTCAAAAGGAATCTTCAACTCTGTGAGTTGAATGCAATCATCACAAAGAAGTTTCTGACAATGCTTCTCTCTCGTCTTTCTGTGAAGATAAAGGAAAAGGCTTTCAGGCCTTTGCCACCACAGGCCTGAAAGCGCTCCAAATGTCCACTTGCAGATTCTGCCAAAAGAATATTTCAAAACTGCTCTATGAAAAGCAATGTTAAACTCTGTGGCTGGAACACAAACATCACAAAGCGGTTTGTGAGAATGTTTCAGTTTAGTTTTTCTGTGGAAATATTCCCGTTTCCAAAGAAATCTTCAAAGAGGTCCACGTATCCACTTACAGATTCTACAAAAAGACAGTTTCAAAACTGCTCCATCAAAAGGAGGGTTCAACTGTGTGACTTGAATGCAATCATCACTCAGAAGTTTCTGAGAATGCTTCTCTTTAGTTTTTACGTGAACATATACCCGTTTCGAACGAAGGCCACCCAGTGGTCCAAATATCCACTTGCAGATTATACAGAAAGAGTGTTTCGAACCTGAACTCTCAAAGGCAGGTTCATCTCTGCGAGTTAAATGCATTCATCATGAAGAACTTTCTCAGAGTGTTTGTGCTTAGTTATGGGAAATTATTCCCGTTTCCAACGAAATCCTCAGAGTGGTCCAAATATCCACCTGCAGATTCTACCAAAAGTGTATTTGGAAACTGCTCCATCAAAAGGCATGTTCAGCTCTGTGAGTGAAACTCCATCATCACAAAGAATATTCTGAGAATGCTTCCGTTTGCCTTTTATATGAAGTTCCTTCCTATACGACCGTAGGCCTCAAAGCAGTCCAAATCTCCATTTGCAGATTCTACAAAAAGAGTGATTCCAATCTGCTGTATCAATAGGATTGTTCAACTCCATGAGTTGAAAGCCATCCTCACGAAGTAGTTTCTGAGAATGCTTCTATCTAGTTTTTATGTGAAGATATTTCCTTTTCCACCACAGGCCTCAAAGCCCTCCAAACGTCCACTTGCAGATTCTCGAAAAAGAGTGTTTCATAGCTGCTCTTTCAAAAGGAAAGTTCAACTCTGGGAGTTGAATACAAACATCACAAAGTAGTTTCCGAGAATGCTTCTGTTTAGTTTTTATGTGAAGATGATCCCGTTTCCAGTGAAATCTTCAAAGAGGTCCACATATCCCCTTGCAGATTCCAAAGAAAGAGGGTTTCAAAACTGCTCCAATCAGAAGGATTGTTCAACTCTGTGAGTTGAATGCAGTCATCGCAGAAAACTTTCTGAGAATGCTTCTGTCTAGGTTTGATGTGAAGATATAGACGTTTCAAACGAAGGCTACAAAGTGGTCAAAATATACACTTGCAGATTCTACTACAAGGGTGTTGCAAACCTGAACTATCAAAGGAAGGTTCAACTCTGTGAGTTGAATACAAACATCACAAAGAATGTTCTGAGTTTGCTTCCGTTCAGTTATGGGAAGTTGATCCCGTTTCCAACGAAATCCTCAGAGAGGTCCAAATATCCCCTTGCAGATTCTACAAAACGTGTGTTTGGAAACTGCTCCATCATAACGAATGTTCAGCTCCCTGAGTTAAACTCCATCGTCACAAAGAATTTTCTGAGAGTGCTACCGTCTGGTTTTTATATGAAGTTCTTTCCTTCACTACCACAGGCCTCAAAGCGGTCCAAATCTCCACTTGCAGATTCTACAAAAAGAGTGTTTGCAAACTGCTCTATCAAAAGGAATGTTCAACTCTGGGAGTTGAATGCAATCATCACAGAGCAGTTTCTGAGAATGCTTCTATGTCGTTTTTAGGAGAAGATATTTCCTTTTCCAACACAGTCCTCCAAGCCCGCTAAATAGCCACTTGCACATTGTAGAAAAAGTGTGTCAAAGCTGCGCTATCAAAGGGAAAGTTCAACTCTGTGAGGTGAATGCAAACATCCCAAAGAAGTTTCTGAGAATGCTTCCGTTTAGCTTTTAGGTGAAGATTATCCCGTTTCCAACGAAACCTTCAAAGAGGTCCAAATATCCCCTTGCGGATCCCACAGAAAGAGTGTTTCGAAACTGCTGTTTCAAAAGGAATCTTCAACTCTGTGAGTTGAATGCAATCATCACAAAGAAGTTTCTGACAATGCTTCTCTCTCGTCTTTCTGTGAAGATAAAGGAAAAGGCTTTCAGGCCTTTTCCACCACAGGCCTGAAAGCGCTCCAAATGTCCACTTGCAGATTCTGCGAAAAGAATATTTCAAAACTGCTCTATGAAAAGCAATGTTAAACTCTGTGGCTGGAACACAAACATCACAAAGCGGTTTCTGAGAATGTTTCAGTTTAGTTTTTCTGTGGAAATATTCCCGTTTCCAAAGAAATCTTCAAAGAGGTCCACGTATCCACTTACAGATTCTACAAAAAGACAGTTTCAAAACTGCTCCATCAAAAGGAGGGTTCAACTGTGTGACTTGAATGCAATCATCACTCAGAAGTTTCTGAGAATGCTTCTCTTTAGTTTTTACGTGAACATATACCCGTTTCGAACGAAGGCCACCCAGTGGTCCAAATATCCACTTGCAGATTATACAGAAAGAGTGTTTCGAACCTGAACTCTCAAAGGCAGGTTCATCTCTGCGAGTTAAATGCATTCATCATGAAGAACTTTCTCAGAGTGTTTGTGTTTAGTTATGGGAAATTATTCCCGTTTCCAATGAAATCCTCAGAGAGCTCCAAATATCCACCTGCAGATTCTACCAAAAGTGTATTTGGAAACTGCTCCATCAACAGGCATGTTCAGCTCTGTGAGTGAAACTCCATCATCACAAAGAACATTCTGAGAATGCTTCCGTTTGCCTTTTATATGAAGTTCCTTCCTATACGACCGTAGGCCTCAAAGCAGTCCAAATCTCCATTTGCAGATTCTACAAAAAGAGTGATTCCAATCTGCTCTATCAATAGGATTGTTCAACTCCATGAGTTGAATGCCATCCTCACAAAGTCGTTTCTGAGAATGCTTCTATCTAGTTTTTATGTGAAGATATTTCCTTTTCCACCACAGGCCTCAAAGCCCTCCAAACGTCCACTTGCAGATTCTCGAAAAAGAGTGTTTCATAGCTGCTCTTCCAAAAGGAAAGTTCAACTCTGGGAGTTGAATACAAACATCCCAAAGTAGTTTCCGAGAATGCTTATATTTAGTTTTTATGTGAAGATGATCCCGTTTCCAGTGAAATCTTCAAAGAGGTCCACATATTCCCTTGCAGATTCCAAAGAAAGAGGGTTTCAAAACTGCTCCATCAGAAGGATTGTTCAACTCTGTGAGTTGAATGCAGTCATCGCAGAAAACTTTCTAAGAATGCTTCTGTCTAGGTTTGATGTGAAGATATAGACGTTTCAAACGAAGGCTACAAAGTGGTCAAAATATACACTTGCAGATTCTACTACAAGGGTGTTGCAAACCTGAACTATCAAAGGAAGGTTCAACTCTGTGAGTTGAATACAAACATCACAAAGAATGTTCTGAGTTTGCTTCCGTTCAGTTATGGGAAGTTGATCCCGTTTCCAACGAAATCCTCAGAGAGGTCCAAATATCCCCTTGCAGATTCTACAAAACGTGTGTTTGGAAACTGCTCCATCATAACGAATGTTCAGCTCCCTGAGTTAAACTCCATCGTCACAAAGAATTTTCTGAGAGTGCTACCGTCTGGTTTTTATATGAAGTTCTTTCCTTCACTACCACAGGCCTCAAAGCGGTCCAAATCTCCACTTGCAGATTCTACAAAAAGAGTGTTTGCAAACTGCTCTATCAAAAGGAATGTTCAACTCTGGGAGTTGAATGCAATCATCACAGAGCAGTTTCTGAGAATGCTTCTATGTCGTTTTTAGGAGAAGATATTTCCTTTTCCAACACAGTCCTCCAAGCCCGCTAAATATCCACTTGCACATTGTAGAAACAGTGTGTCGAAGCTGCGCTATCAAAGGGAAAGTTCAACTCTGTGAGGTGAATGCAAACATCCCAAAGAAGTTTCTGAGAATGCTTCCGTTTAGCTTTTAGGTGAAGATTATCCCGTTTCCAACGAAATCTTCAAAGAGGTCCAAATATCCCCTTGCGGATCCCACAGAAAGAGTGTTTCGAAACTGCTGTTTCAAAAGGAATCTTCAACTCTGTGAGTTGAATGCAATCATCACAAAGAAGTTTCTGACAATGCTTCTCTCTCGTCTTTCTGTGAAGATAAAGGAAAAGGCTTTCAGGCCTTTTCCACCACAGGCCTGAAAGCGCTCCAAATGTCCACTTGCAGATTCTGCCAAAAGAATATTTCAAAACTGCTCTATGAAAAGCAATGTTAAACTCAGCGGCTCGAACACAAACATCACAAAGCAGTTTCTGAGAATGCTTCAGTTTAGTTTTTCTGTGGAAATATTCCCGTTTCCAAAGAAATCTTCAAAGAGGTCCACGTGTCCTCTAACAGATTCTACAAAAAGACAGTTTCAAAACTGCTCAATCAAAAGGAGGGTTCAACCGTGTGACTTGAATGCAATCATCACTCAGAAGTTTCTGAGAATGCTTCTCTTTAGTTTTTACGTGAACATATACCCGTTTCGAACGAAGGCCAGCCAGTGGTCCAAATATCCACTTGCAGATTCTACAGAAAGAGTGTTTCGAACCTGAACTCTCAAAGGCAGGTTCATCTCTGCGAGTTAAATGCATTCATCATGAAGAACTTTCTCAGAGTGTTTGTGTTTAGTTATGGGAAATTATTCCCGTTTCCAACGAAATCCTCAGAGAGGTCCAAATATCCACCTGCAGATTCTACCAAAAGTGTATTTGGAAACTGCTCCATCAAAAGGCATGTTCAGCTCTGTGAGTGAAACTCCATCATCACAAAGAATATTCTGAGAATGCTTCCGTTTGCCTTTTATATGAAGTTCCTTCCTATACGACCGTAGGCCTCAAAGCAGTCCAAATCTCCATTTGCAGATTCTACAAAAAGAGTGATTCCAATCTGCTCTATCAATAGGATTGTTCAACTCCATGAGTTGAATGCCATCCTCACAAAGTTGTTTCTGAGAATGCTTCTATCTAGTTTTTATGTGAAGATATTTCCTTTTCCACCACAGGCCTCAAAGCCCTCCAAACGTCCACTTGCAGATTCTCGAAAAAGAGTGTTTCATAGCTGCTCTTTCAAAAGGAAAGTTCAACTCTGGGAGTTGAATACAAACATCACAAAGTAGTTTCCGAGAATGCTTCTGTTTAGTTTTTATGTGAAGATGATCCCGTTTCCAGTGAAATCTTCAAAGAGGTCCACATATCCCCTTGCAGATTCCAAAGAAAGAGGGTTTCAAAACTGCTCCATCAGAAGGATTGTTCAACTCTGTGAGTTGAATGCAGTCATCGCAGAAAACTTTCTGAGAATGCTTCTGTCTAGGTTTGATGTGAAGATATAGACGTTTCAAACGAAGGCTACAAAGTGGTCAAAATATACACTTGCAGATTCTACTACAAGGGTGTTGCAAACCTGAACTATCAAAGGAAGGTTCAACTCTGTGAGTTGAATACAAACATCACAAAGAATGTTCTGAGTTTGCTTCCGTTCAGTTATGGGAAGTTGATCCCGTTTCCAACGAAATCCTCAGAGAGGTCCAAATATCCCCTCGCAGATTCTACAAAACGTGTGTTTGGAAACTGCTCCATCATAACGAATGTTCAGCTCCCTGAGTTAAACTCCATCGTCACAAAGAATTTTCTGAGAGTGCTACCGTCTGGTTTTTATATGAAGTTCTTTCCTTCACTACCACAGGCCTCAAAGCGGTCCAAATCTCCACTTGCAGATTCTACAAAAAGAGTGTTTGCAAACTGCTCTATCAAAAGGAATGTTCAACTCTGGGAGTTGAATGCAATCATCACAGAGCAGTTTCTGAGAATGCTTCTATGTCGTTTTTAGGAGAAGATATTTCCTTTTCCAACACAGTCCTCCAAGCCCGCTAAATAGCCACTTGCACATTGTAGAAAAAGTGTGTCAAAGCTGTGCTATCAAAGGGAAAGTTCAACTCTGTGAGGTGAATGCAAACATCCCAAAGAAGTTTCTGAGAATGCTTCCGTTTAGCTTTTAGGTGAAGATTATCCCGTTTCCAACGAAACCTTCAAAGAGGTCCAAATATCCCCTTGCGGATCCCACAGAAAGAGTGTTTCGAAACTGCTGTTTCAAAAGGAATCTTCAACTCTGTGAGTTGAATGCAATCATCACAAAGAAGTTTCTGACAATGCTTCTCTCTCGTCTTTCTGTGAAGATAAAGGAAAAGGCTTTCAGGCCTTTTCCACCACAGGCCTGAAAGCGCTCCAAATGTCCACTTGCAGATTCTGTGAAAAGAATATTGCAAAACTGCTCTATGAAAAGCAATGTTAAACTCTGTGGCTCGAACACAAACATCACAAAGCAGTTTCTGAGAATGCTTCAGTTTAGTTTTTCCGTGGAAATATTCCCGTTTCCAAAGAAATCTTCAAAGAGGTCCACGTATCCACTTACAGATTCTACAAAAAGACAGTTTCAAAACTGCTCCATCAAAAGGAGGGTTCAACTGTGTGACTTGAATGCAATCATCACTCAGAAGTTTCTGAGAATGCTTCTCTTTAGTTTTTACGTGAACATATACCCGTTTCGAACGAAGGCCACCCAGTGGTCCAAATATCCACTTGCAGATTCTACAGAAAGAGTGTTTCGAACCTGAACTCTCAAAGGCAGGTTCATCTCTGCGAGTTAAATGCATTCATCATGAAGAACTTTCTCAGAGTGTTTGTGTTTAGTTATGGGAAATTATTCCCGTTTCCAACGAAATCCTCAGAGAGGTTCAAATATCCACCTGCAGATTCTACCAAAAGTGTATTTGGAAACTGCTCCATCAAAAGGCATGTTCAGCTCTGTGTGTGAAACTCCATCATCACAAAGAATATTCTGAGAATGCCTCCGTTTGCCTTTTATATGAAGTTCCTTCCTATACTACCGTAGGCCTCAAAGCAGTCCAAATCTCCATTTGCAGATTCTACAAAAAGAGTGATTCCAATCTGCTCTATCAATAGGACTGTTCAACTCCATGAGTTGAATGCCATCCTCACAAAGTCGTTTCTGAGAATGCTTCTATCTAGTTTTTATGTGAAGATATTTCCTTTTCCACCACAGGCCTCAAAGCCCTCCAAACGTCCACTTGCAGATTCTCGAAAAAGAGTGTTTCATAGCTGCTCTTTCAAAAGGAAAGTTCAACTCTGGGAGTTGAATACAAACATCACAAAGTAGTTTCCGAGAATGCTTCTGTTTAGTTCTTATGTGAAGATGATCCCGTTTCCAGTGAAATCTTCAAAGAGGTCCAGATATCCCCTTGCAGATTCCAAAGAAAGAGGGTTTCAAAACTGCTCCATCAAAAGGATTGTTCAACTCTGTGAGTTGAATGCAGTCATCGCAGAAAACTTTCTGAGAATGCTTCTGTCTAGGTTTGATGTGAAGATATAGACGTTTCAAACGAAGGCTACAAAGTGGTCAAAATATACACTTGCAGATTCTACTACAAGGGTGTTGCAAACCTGAACTATCAAAGGAAGGTTCAACTCTGTGAGTTGAATACAAACATCACAAAGAATGTTCTGAGTTTGCTTCCGTTCAGTTATGGGAAGTTGATCCCGTTTCCAACGAAATCCTCAGAGAGGTCCAAATATCCCCTTGCAGATTCTACAAAACGTGTGTTTGGAAACTGCTCCATCATAACGAATGTTCAGCTCTCTGAGTTAAACTCCATCGTCACAAAGAATTTTCTGAGAGTGCTACCGTCTAGTTTTTATATGAAGTTCTTTCCTTTACTACCACAGGCCTCAAAGCGGTCCAAATCTCCACTTGCAGATTCTACAAAAAGAGTGTTTGCAAACTGCTCTATCAAAAGGAATGTTCAACTCTGGGAGTTGAATGCAATCATCACAGAGCAGTTTCTGAGAATGCTTCTATGTCGTTTTTAGGAGAAGATATTTCCTTTTCCAACACAGTCCTCCAAGCCCGCTAAATATCCACTTGCACATTGTAGAAAAAGTGTGTCGAAGCTGCGCTATCAAAGGGAAAGTTCAACTCTGTGAGGTGAATGCAAACATCCCAAAGAAGTTTCTGAGAATGCTTCCGTTTAGCTTTTAGGTGAAGATTATCCCGTTTCCAACGAAATCTTCAAAGAGGTCCAAATATCCCCTTGCGGATCCCACAGAAAGAGTGTTTCGAAACTGCTGTTTCAAAAGGAATCTTCAACTCTGTGAGTTGAATGCAATCATCACAAAGAAGTTTCTGACAATGCTTCTCTCTCGTCTTTCTGTGAAGATAAAGGAAAAGGCTTTCAGGCCTTTTCCACCACAGGCCTGAAAGCGCTCGAAATGTCCACTTGCAGATTCTGCCAAAAGAATACTTCAAAACTGCTCTATGAAAAGCAATGTTAAACTCTGTGGCTCGAACACAAACATCACAAAGCAGTTTCTGAGAATGCTTCAGTTTAGTTTTTCTGTGGAAATATTCCCGTTTCCAAAGAAATCTTCAAAGAGGTCCACGTATCCACTTACAGATTCTACAAAAAGACAGTTTCAAAACTGCTCAATCAAAAGGAGGGTTCAACCGTGTGACTTGAATGCAATCATCACTCAGAAGTTTCTGAGAATGCTTCTCTTTAGTTTTTACGTGAACATATACCCGTTTCGAACGAAGGCCACCCAGTGGTCCAAATATCCACTTGCAGATTCTACAGAAAGAGTGTTTCGAACCTGAACTCTCAAAGGCAGGTTCATCTCTGCGAGTTCAATGCATTCATCATGAAGAACTTTCTCAGAGTGTTTGTGTTTAGGTATGGGAAATTATTGCCGTTTCCAACGAAATCCTCAGAGAGGTCCAAATATCCACCTGCAGATTCTACCAAAAGTGTATTTGGAAACTGCTCCATCAAAAGGCATGTTCAGCTCTGTGAGTGAAACTCCATCATCACAAAGAATATTCTGAGAATGCTTCCGTTTGCCTTTTATATGAAGTTCCTTCCTATACTACCGTAGGCCTCAAAGCAGTCCAAATCTCCATTTGCAGATCCTACAAAAAGAGTGATTCCAATCTGCTCTATCAATAGGATTGTTCAACTCCATGAGTTGAATGCCATCCTCACAAAGTAGTCTCTGAGAATGCTTCTATCTAGTTTTTATGTGAAGATATTTCCTTTTCCACCACAGGCCTCAAAGCCCTCCAAACGTCCACTTGCAGATTCTCGAAAAAGAGTGTTTCATAGCTGCTCTTTCAAAAGGAAAGTTCAACTCTGGGAGTTGAATACAAACATCACAAAGTAGTTTCCGAGAATGCTTCTGTTTAGTTCTTATGTGAAGATGATCCCGTTTCCAGTGAAATCTTCAAAGAGGTCCACATATCCCCTTGCAGATTCCAAAGAAAGAGGGTTTCAAAACTGCTCCATCAAAAGGATTGTTCAACTCTGTGAGTTGAATGCAGTCATCGCAGAAAACTTTCTGAGAATGCTTCTGTCTAGGTTTGAGGTGAAGATATAGACGTTTCAAACGAAGGCTACAAAGTGGTCAAAATATACACTTGCAGATTCTACTACAAGGGTGTTGCAAACCTGAACTATCAAAGGAAGGTTCAACTCTGTGAGTTGAATACAAACATCACAAAGAATGTTCTGAGTTTGCTTCCGTTCAGTTATGGGAAGTTGATCCCGTTTCCAACGAAATCCTCAGAGAGGTCCAAATATCCCCTTGCAGATTCTACAAAACGTGTGTTTGGAAACTGCTCCATCATAACGAATGTTCAGCTCTCTGAGTTAAACTCCATCGTCACAAAAAATTTTCTGAGAGTGCTACCGTCTAGTTTTTATATGAAGTTCTTTCCTTTACTACCACAGGCCTCAAGGCGGTCCAAATCTCCACTTGCAGATTCTACAAAAAGAGTGTTTGCAAACTGCTCTATCAAAAGGAATGTTCAACTCTGGGAGTTGAATGCAATCATCACAGAGTAGTTTCTGAGAATGCTTCTATGTCGTTTTTAGGAGAAGATATTTCCTTTTCCAACACAGTCCTCCAAGCCCGCTAAATAGCCACTTGCACATTGTAGAAAAAGTGTGTCAAAGCTGCGCTATCAAAGGGAAAGTTCAACTCTGTGAGGTGAATGCAAACATCCTAAAGAAGTTTCTGAGAATGCTTCCGTTTAGCTTTTAGGTGAAGATTATCCCGTTTCCAACGAAACCTTCAAAGAGGTCCAAATATCCCCTTGCGGATCCCACAGAAAGAGTGTTTCGAAACTGCTGTTTCAAAAGGAATCTTCAACTCTGTGAGTTGAATGCAACCATCACAAAGAAGTTTCTGACAATGCTTCTCTCTCGTCTTTCTGTGAAGATAAAGGAAAAGGCTTTCAGGCCTTTGCCACCACAGGCCTGAAAGCGCTCCAAATGTCCACTTGCAGATTCTGCGAAAAGAATATTTCAAAACTGCTCTATGAAAAGCAATGTTAAACTCTGTGGCTCGAACACAAACATCACAAAGCGGTTTCTGAGAATGCTTCAGTTTAGTTTTTCTGTGGAAATATTCCCGTTTCCAAAGAAATCTTCAAAGAGGTCCACGTATCCACTTACAGATTCTACAAAAAGACAGTTTCAAAACTGCTCCATCAAAAGGAGGGTTCAACTGTGTGACTTGAATGCAATCATCACTCAGAAGTTTCTGAGAATGCTTCTCTTTAGTTTTTACGTGAACATATACCCGTTTCGAACGAAGGCCAGCCAGTGGTCCAAATATCCACTTGCAGATTCTACAGAAAGAGTGTTTCGAACCTGAACTCTCAAAGGCAGGTTCATCTCTGCGAGTTAAATGCATTCATCATGAAGAACTTTCTCAGAGTGTTTGTGTTTAGTTATGGGAAATTATTCCCGTTTCCAACGAAATCCTCAGAGAGCTCCAAATATCCACCTGCAGATTCTACCAAAAGTGTATTTGGAAACTGCTCCATCAAAAGGCATGTTCAGCTCTGTGAGTGAAACTCCATCATCACAAAGAATATTCTGAGAATGCTTCCGTTTGCCTTTTATATGAAGTTCCTTCCTATACGACCGTAGGCCTCAAAGCAGTCCAAATCTCCATTTGCAGATTCTACAAAAAGAGTGATTCCAATCTGCTCTATCAATAGGATTGTTCAACTCCATGAGTTGAATGCCATCCTCACAAAGTAGTTTCTGAGAATGCTTCTATCTGGTTTTTGTGTGAAGATATTTCCTTTACCACCACAGGCCTCAAAGCCCTCCAAACGACCACTTGCAGATTCTCGAAAAAGAGTGTTTCATAGCTGCTCTTTCAAAAGGAAAGTTCAACTCTGGGAGTTGAATACAAACATCACAAAATAGTTTCCGAGAATGCTTCTGTTTAGTTTTTATGTGAAGATGATCCCGTTTCCAGTGAAATCTTCAAAGAGGTCCACATATCCCCTTGCAGATTCCAAAGAAAGAGGGTTTCAAAACTGCTCCATCAAAAGGATTCTTCAACTCTGTGAGTTGAATGCAGTCATCGCAGAAAACTTTCTGAGAATGCTTCTGTCTAGGTTTGATGTGAAGATATAGAGGTTTCAAACGAAGGCTACAAAGTGGTCAAAATATACACTTGCAGATTCTACTACAAGGGTGTTGCAAACCTGAACTATCAAAGGAAGGTTCAACTCTGTGAGTTGAATACAAACATCACAAAGAATGTTCTGAGTTTGCTTCCGTTCAGTTATGGGAAGTTGATCCCGTTTCCAACGAAATCCTCAGAGAGGTCCAAATATCCCCTTGCAGATTCTACAAAACGTGTGTTTGGAAACTGCTCCATCATAACGAATGTTCAGCTCCCTGAGTTAAACTCCATCGTCACAAAGAATTTTCTGAGAGTGCTACCGTCTGGTTTTTATATGAAGTTCTTTCCTTCACTACCACAGGCCTCAAAGCGGTCCAAATCTCCACTTGCAGATTCTACAAAAAGAGTGTTTGCAAACTGCTCTATCAAAAGGAATGTTCAACTCTGGGAGTTGAATGCAATCATCACAGAGCAGTTTCTGAGAATGCTTCTATGTCGTTTTTAGGAGAAGATATTTCCTTTTCCAACACAGTCCTCCAAGCCCGCTAAATAGCCACTTGCACATTGTAGAAAAAGTGTGTCAAAGCTGCGCTATCAAAGGGAAAGTTCAACTCTGTGAGGTGAATGCAAACATCCCAAAGAAGTTTCTGAGAATGCTTCCGTTTAGCTTTTAGGTGAAGATTATCCCGTTTCCAACGAAACCTTCAAAGAGGTCCAAATATCCCCTTGCGGATCCCACAGAAAGAGTGTTTCGAAACTGCTGTTTCAAAAGGAATCTTCAACTCTGTGAGTTGAATGCAATCATCACAAAGAAGTTTCTGACAATGCTTCTCTCTCGTCTTTCTGTGAAGATAAAGGAAAAGGCTTTCAGGCCTTTTCCACCACAGGCCTGAAAGCGCTCCAAATGTCCACTTGCAGATTCTGCCAAAAGAATATTTCAAAACTGCTCTATGAAAAGCAATGTTAAACTCTGTGGCTCGAACACAAACATCACAAAGCGGTTTCTGAGAATGCTTCGGTTAAGTTTTTCTGTGGAAATATTCCCGTTTCCAAAGAAATCTTCAAAGAGGTCCACGCATCCACTTACAGATTCTACAAAAAGACAGTTTCAAAACTGCTCAATCAAAAGGAGGGTTCAACTGTGTGACTTGAATGCAATCATCACTCAGAAGTTTCTGAGAACGCTTCTCTTTAGTTTTTACGTGAACATATACCCGTTTCGAACGAAGGCCAGCCAGTGGTCCAAATATCCACTTGCAGATTCTACAGAAAGAGTGTTTCGAACCTGAACTCTCAAAGGCAGGTTCATCTCTGCGAGTTAAATGCATTCATCATGAAGAACTTTCTCAGCGTGTTTGTGTTTAGTTATGGGAAATTATTCCCGTTTCCAACGAAATCCTCAGAGAGCTCCAAATATCCACCTGCAGATTCTACCAAAAGTGTATTTGGAAACTGCTCCATCAAAAGGCATGTTCAGCTCTGTGAGTGAAACTCCATCATCACAAAGAATATTCTGAGAATGCTTCCGTTTGCCTTTTATATGAAGTTCCTTCCTATACTACCGTAGGCCTCAAAGCAGTCCAAATCTCCATTTGCAGATTCTACAAAAAGAGTGATTCCAATCTGCTCTATCAATAGGACTGTTCAACTCCATGAGTTGAATGCCATCCTCACAAAGTAGTTTCTGAGAATGCTTCTATCTAGTTTTTATGTGAAGATATTTCCTTTTCCACCACAGGCCTCAAAGCCCTCCAAACGTCCACTTGCAGATTCTCGAAAAAGAGTGTTTCATAGCTGCTCTTTCAAAAGGAAAGTTCAACTCTGGGAGTTGAATACAAACATCACAAAGTAGTTTCCGAGAATGCTTCTGTTTAGTTTTTATGTGAAGATGATCCCGTTTCCAGTGAAATCTTTCAAAGAGGTCCACATATCCCCTTGCAGATTCCAAAGAAAGAGGGTTTCAAAACTGCTCCATCAGAAGGATTGTTCAACTCTGTGAGTTGAATGCAGTCATCGCAGAAAACTTTCTGAGAATGCTTCTGTCTAGGTTTGATGTGAAGATATAGACGTTTCAAACGAAGGCTACAAAGTGGTCAAAATATACACTTGCAGATTCTACTACAAGGGTGTTGCAAACCTGAACTATCAAAGGAAGGTTCAACTCTGTGAGTTGAATACAAACATCACAAAGAATGTTCTGAGTTTGCTTCCGTTCAGTTATGGGAAGTTGATCCCTTTTCCAACGAAATCCTCAGAGAGGTCCAAATATCCCCTCGCAGATTCTACAAAACGTGTGTTTGGAAACTGCTCCATCATAACGAATGTTCAGCTCCCTGAGTTAAACTCCATCGTCACAAAGAATTTTCTGAGAGTGCTACCGTCTAGTTTTTATATGAAGTTCTTTCCTTTACTACCACAGGCCTCAAGGCGGTCCAAATCTCCACTTGCAGATTCTACAAAAAGAGTGTTTGCAAACTGCTCTATCAAAAGGAATGTTCAACTCTGGGAGTTGAATGCAATCATCACAGAGTAGTTTCTGAGAATGCTTCTATGTCGTTTTTAGGAGAAGATATTTCCTTTTCCAACACAGTCCTCCAAGCCCGCTAAATAGCCACTTGCACATTGTAGAAAAAGTGTGTCAAAGCTGCGCTATCAAAGGGAAAGTTCAACTCTGTGAGGTGAATGCAAACATCCTAAAGAAGTTTCTGAGAATGCTTCCGTTTAGCTTTTAGGTGAGATTATCCCGTTTCCAACGAAATCTTCAAAGAGTTCCAAATATCCCCTTGTGGATCCCACAGAAAGAGTGTTTCGAAACTGCTGTTTCAAAAGGAATCTTCAACTCTGTGAGTTGAATGCAATCATCACAAAGAAGTTTCTGGCAATGCTTCTCTCTCGTCTTTATGTGAAGATAAAGGAAAAGGCTTTCAGACCTTTTCCACCACAGGCCTGAAAGCGCTCCAAATGTCCACTTGCAGATTCTGCGAACAGAATGTTTCAAAACTGCTCTATGAAAAGCAATGTTAAACTCTGTGGCTCGAACACAAACATCACAAATCAGTTTCTGAGAATGCTTCAGTTTAGTTTTTCTGTGGAGATATTCCCATTTCCAAAGAAATCTTCAAAGAGGTCCACATATCCACTTACAGATTCTACAAAAAGACAGATTCAAAACTGCTCAATCAAAAGGAGGGTTCAACTGTGTGACTTGAATGCAATCATCACACAGAAGTTTCTGAGAATGCTTCTCCTTAGTTTTTACGTGAACATATACCCGTTTCGAACGAAGGCCACCCAGTGGTTCAAATATCCACTTGCAGATTTTACAGAAAGAGTCTTTCAAACCTGAACTTTCAAAGGAAGGTTCATCTCTGTGAGTTAAATGCATTCATCATGAAGAACATTCTCAGAATGTTTTTGTTTAGTTATGGGAAGTATTTCCCGTTTCCAACGAAATCCTCAGAGAGGTCCAAATATCCACTTGCAGATTCTACCAAAAGTGTATTTGGAAACTGCTCCATCAAAAGGCATGTTCAACTCTGTGAGTTAAACCCCATCATCACAAAGAATATTCTGAGAATGCTTCCGTTTGCTTTTTATATGAAGTTCCTTCCTATACTACCGTAGGCCTCAAAGCAGTCCAAATCTCCATTTGCAGATTCTATAAAAAGAGTGTTTCCAATCTGCTTTATCAATAGGATTGTTCAACTCCGTGAGGTGAATGCCATCCTCACAAAGTCGTTTCTGAGAATGCTTCTATCTAGTTTTTATGTGAAGATATTTCCTTTTCCACCACAGGTCTCAAAGCCCTCCAAACGTCCACTTGCAGATTCTCGAAAAAGGGTGTTTCATAGCTGCTCTTTCAACAGGAAAGTTCAACTCTCGGAGTTGAATACAAACATCACAAAGTAGTTTTCGAGAATGCTTCTCTTTAGTTTTTATGTGAAGATGATCCCGTTTCCAATGAAATCTTCAAAGAGGTCCACATATGCCCTTGCAGATTCCAAAGAAAGAGGGTTTCAAAACTGCTCCATCAAATGGATTGTTCAACTCTGTGAGTTGAATGCAGTCATCGCAGAAAACTTTGTGAGAATGCTTCTGTCTAGGTTTGATGTGAAGATATAGACGTTTCAAACGAAGGCTACAAAGTGGTCAAAATATACACTTGCAGATTCTACTACAAGGGTGTTGCAAACTTGCACTATCAAAGGAAGTTTGCACTCTCTGAGTTGAATGCAAACATCACAAAGATGTTTCTGAGAATGCCTCCGTTCAGTTATGGGAAGTTGATCCCGTTTCCAACGAAATCCTCAGAGAGGTCTAAATATCCCCTTGCAGATTCTACAAAAAGTGTGTTTGGAAACTGCTCCATCAAAACGAATGTTCAGCTCTCTGAGTTAAACTCAATCGTCACAAGGAATTTTGTGAGAGTGCTACTGTCTACGTTTCATGTGAAGTTCTTTCCTTTACTACCACAGGCCTCAAAGCGGTCCAAATCTCCACTTGCAGATTCTACAAAGGAGTGATTGCAAACTGCTCTATCAAAATGAATGTTCAACTCTGGGAGTTGAATGCATTCATCACAGAGCAGTTTCTGAGAATGCTTCTATGTGGTTCTTAGGAGTAGATATTTCCTTTTCCACCACAGTCCTCCAAGCCCGCTAAATATCCACTTGCACATTCTAGAAAAAGTGTGTTAAAGCTGCGCTATCAAAGGGAAAGTTCAACTGTGTGAGGTGAATGCAAACGTCCCAAAGAAGTTTCTGAGAATGCTTCCGTTTAGCTTTTAGGTGAAGATTATCCCGTTTCCAACGAAATCTTCAAAGAGGTCCAAATATCCCCTTGCGGATCCCACAGAAAGAGTGTTTCGAAACTGCTGTTTCAAAAGGAGTCTTCAACTCTGTGAATTGAATGCAATCATCACAAAGAAGTTTCTGAGAATGCTTCTCTCTCGTCTTTATGTGAAGATATTTCCTTTTCCACCACAGGCCTGAAAGCGCTCCAAATGTCCTCTTGCAGATTCTGCGAACAGAATGTTTCAAAACTGCTCTATGAAAAGCAATGTTAAACTCTGTGGCTCGAACACAAACATCACAAATCAGTTTCTGAGAATGCTTCAGTTTAGTTTTTCTGTGGAGATAATCCCATTTCCAAAGAAATCTTCAAAGAGGTCCACATATCCACTTACAGATTCTACAAAAAGACAGATTCAAAACTGCTCAATCAAAAGGAGGGTTCAACCCTGTGACTTGAATGCAATCATCACACAGAAGTTTCTCAGAATGCTTCTCTTTAGTTTTTACGTGAACATATACCCGTTTCGAACGAAGGCCACACAGTTGTCCAAATATCCACTTGCAGATTCTACAGAAAGAGTGTTTCAAACCTGAACTCTCAAAGGAAGGTTCATCACTGTGAGTTAAATGCATTCATCATGAAGAACTTTCTCAGAATGTTTGTGTTTAGTCATGGGAAGTCTTTCCCATTTCCAACGAAATCCTCAGAGAGGTCCAAATATCCACTTGCAGATTCTACTAAAAGTGTATTTGGAAACTGCTCCATCAAAAGGCATGTTCAGCTCTGTGAGTTAAACTCCATCATCACAAAGAATATTCTGAGAATGCTTCCGTTTGCTTTTTATATGAAGTTCCTTCCTATACTACCGTAGGCCTCAAAGCAGTCCAAATCTCCATTTACAGATTCTACAAAAAGAGTGTTTCCAATCTGCTCTATCAATAGGATTGTTCAACTCCGTGAGTTGAATGCCATCCTCACAAAGTAGTTTCTGAGAATGCTTCTATCTAGTTTTTATGTGAAGATATTTCCTTTTCCACCACAGGCCTCAAAGCCCTCCAAAAGTCCACTTGCAGATTCTCGAAAAAGAGTGTTTCATAGCTGCTCTTTCAAAAGGAAATTTCAACTCTGGGAGTTGAATACAAACATCACAAAGAATGTTCTGAGTTTGCTTCCGTTCAGTTATGGGAAGTTGATCCCGTTTCCAACGAAATCCTCAGAGAGGTCCAAATATCCCCTTGCAGATTCTACAAAACGTGTGTTCGGAAACTGCTCCATCATAACGAATGTTCAGCTCCCTGAGTTAAACTCCATCGTCACAAAGAATTTTCTGAGAGTGCTACCGTCTGGTTTTTATATGAAGTTCTTTCCTTCACTACCACAGGCCTCAAAGCGGTCCAAATCTCCACTTGCAGATTCTACAAAAAGAGTGTTTGCAAACTGCTCTATCAAAAGGAATGTTCAACTCTGGGAGTTGAATGCAATCATCACAGAGCAGTTTCTGAGAATGCTTCTATGTCGTTTTTAGGAGAAGATATTTCCTTTTCCAACACAGTCCCCCAAGCCCGCTAAATAGCCACTTGCACATTGTAGAAAAAGTGTGTCAAAGCTGCGCTATCAAAGGGAAAGTTCAACTCTGTGAGGTGAATGCAAACATCCCAAAGAAGTTTCTGAGAATGCTTCCGTTTAGCTTTTAGGTGAAGATTATCCCGTTTCCAACGAAACCTTCAAAGAGGTCCAAATATCCCCTTGCGGATCCCACAGAAAGAGTGTTTCGAAACTGCTGTTTCAAAAGGAATCTTCAACTCTGTGAGTTGAATGCAATCATCACAAAGAAGTTTCTGACAATGCTTCTCTCTCGTCTTTCTGTGAAGATAAAGGAAAAGGCTTTCAGGCCTTTGCCACCACAGGCCTGAAAGCGCTCCAAATGTCCACTTGCAGATTCTGCGAAAAGAATATTTCAAAACTGCTCTATGAAAAGCAATGTTAAACTCTGTGGCTCGAACACAAACATCACAAAGCGGTTTCTGAGAATGCTTCAGTTTAGTTTTTCTGTGGAAATATTCCCGTTTCCAAAGAAATCTTCAAAGAGGTCCACGTATCCACTTACAGATTCTACAAAAAGACAGTTTCAAAACTGCTCCATCAAAAGGAGGGTTCAACTGTGTGACTTGAATGCAATCATCACTCAGAAGTTTCTGAGAATGCTTCTCTTTAGTTTTTACGTGAACATATACCCGTTTCGAACGAAGGCCACCCAGTGGTCCAAATATCCGCTTGCAGATTCTACAGAAAGAGTGTTTCGAACCTGAACTCTCAAAGGAAGGTTCATCTCTGCGAGTTAAATGCATTCATCATGAAGAACTTTCTCAGAGTGTTTGTGTTTAGTTATGGGAAATTATTCCCGTTTCCAAAGAAATCCTCAGAGAGCTCCAAATATCCACCTGCAGATTCTACCAAAAGTGTATTTGGAAACTGCTCCATCAAAAGGCATGTTCAGCTCTGTGAGTGAAACTCCATCATCACAAAGAATATTCTGAGAATGCTTCCGTTTGTCTTTTATATGAAGTTCCTTCCTGTACTACCGTAGGCCTCAAAGCAGTCCAAATCTCCATTTGCAGATTCTACAAAAAGAGTGATTCCAATCTGCTCTATCAATAGGATTGTTCAACTCCATGAGTTGAATGCCATCCTCACAAAGTAGTTTCTGAGAATGCTTCTATCTGGTTTTTGTGTGAAGATATTTCCTTTTCCACCACAGGCCTCAAAGCCCTCCAAACGTCCACTTGCAGATTCTCGAAAAAGAGTGTTTCATAGCTGCTCTTTCAAAAGGAAAGTTCAACTCTGGGAGTTGAATACAAACATCACAAAATAGTTTCCGAGAATGCTTCAGTTTAGTTTTTATGTGAAGATGATCCCGTTTCCAGTGAAATCTTCAAAGAGGTCCACATATCCCCTTGCAGATTCCAAAGAAAGAGGGTTTCAAAACTGCTCCATCAGAAGGATTGTTCAACTCTGTGAGTTGAATGCAGTCATCGCAGAAAACTTTCTGAGAATGCTTCTGTCTAGGTTTGATGTGAAGATATAGATGTTTCAAACGAAGGCTACAAAGTGGTCAAAATATACACTTGCAGATTCTACTACAAGGGTGTTGCAAACCTGAACTATCAAAGGAAGGTTCAACTCTGTGAGTTGAATACAAACATCACAAAGAATGTTCTGAGTTTGCTTCCGTTCAGTTATGGGAAGTTGATCCCGTTTCCAACGAAATCCTCAGAGAGGTCCAAATATCCCCTTGCAGATTCTACAAAAAGTGTGTTTGGAAACTGCTCCATCATAACGAATGTTCAGCTCCCTGAGTTAAACTCCATCGTCACAAAGAATTTTCTGAGAGTGCTACCGTCTGGTTTTTATATGAAGTTCTTTCCTTCACTACCACAGGCCTCAAAGCGGTCCAAATCTCCACTTGCAGATTCTACAAAAAGAGTGTTTGCAAACTGCTCTATCAAAAGGAATGTTCAACTCTGGGAGTTGAATGCAATCATCACAGAGCAGTTTCTGAGAATGCTTCTATGTCGTTTTTAGGAGAAGATATTTCCTTTTCCAACACAATCCTCCAAGCCCGCTAAATAGCCACTTGCACATTGTAGAAAAAGTGTGTCAAAGCTGCGCTATCAAAGGGAAAGTTCAACTCTGTGAGGTGAATGCAAACATCCCAAAGAAGTTTCTGAGAATGCTTCCGTTTAGCTTTTAGGTGAAGATTATCCCGTTTCCAACGAAACCTTCAAAGAGGTCCAAATATCCCCTTGCGGATCCCACAGAAAGAGTGTTCCGAAACTGCTGTTTCAAAAGGAATCTTCAACTCTGTGAGTTGAATGCAATCATCACAAAGAAGTTTCTGACAATGCTTCTCTCTCGTCTTTCTGTGAAGATAAAGGAAAAGGCTTTCAGGCCTTTGCCACCACAGGCCTGAAAGCGCTCCAAATGTCCACTTGCAGATTCTGCGAAAAGAATATTTCAAAACTGCTCTATGAAAAGCAATGTTAAACTCTGCGGCTCGAACACAAACATCACAAAGCGGTTTCTGAGAATGCTTCAGTTTAGTTTTTCTGTGGAAGTATTCCCGTTTCCAAAGAAATCTTCAAAGAGGTCCACGTATCCACTTACAGATTCTACAAAAAGACAGTTTCAAAACTGCTCCATCAAAAGGAGGGTTCAACTGTGTGACTTGAATGCAATCATCACTCAGAAGTTTCTGAGAATGCTTCTCTTTAGTTTTTACGTGAACATATACCCGTTTCGAACGAAGGCCACCCAGTGGTCCAAATATCCACTTGCAGATTATACAGAAAGAGTGTTTCGAACCTGAACTCTCAAAGGCAGGTTCATCTCTGCGAGTTAAATGCATTCATCATGAAGAACTTTCTCAGAGTGTTTGTGTTTAGTTATGGGAAATTATTCCCGTTTCCAACGAAATCCTCAGAGAGCTCCAAATATCCACCTGCAGATTCTACCAAAAGTGTATTTGGAAACTGCTCCATCAAAAGGCATGTTCAGCTCTGTGAGTGAAACTCCATCATCACAAAGAATATTCTGAGAATGCTTCCGTTTGCCTTTTATATGAAGTTCCTTCCTGTACTACTGTAGGCCTCAAAGCAGTCCAAATCTCCATTTGCAGATTCTACAAAAAGAGTGATTCCAATCTGCTCTATCAATAGGATTGTTCAACTCCATGAGTTGAATGCCATCCTCACAAAGTAGTTTCTGAGAATGCTTCTATCTAGTTTTTATGTGAAGATATTTCCTTTTCCACCACAGGCCTCAAAGCCCTCCAAACGTCCACTTGCAGATTCTCGAAAAAGAGTGTTTCATAGCTGCTCTTTCAAAAGGAAAGTTCAACTCTGGGAGTTGAATACAAACATCACAAAGTAGTTTCCGAGAATGCTTCTGTTTAGTTTTTATGTGAAGATGATCCCGTTTCCAGTGAAATCTTCAAAGAGGTCCACATATCCCCTTGCAGATTCCAAAGAAAGAGGGTTTCAAAACTGCTCCATCAGAAGGATTGTTCAACTCTGTGAGTTGAATGCAGTCATCGCAGAAAACTTTCTGAGAATGCTTCTGTCTAGGTTTGATGTGAAGATATAGACGTTTCAAACGAAGGCTACAAAGTGGTCAAAATATACACTTGCAGATTCTACTACAAGGGTGTTGCAAACCTGAACTATCAAAGGAAGGTTCAACTCTGTGAGTTGAATACAAACATCACAAAGAATGTTCTGAGTTTGCTTCCGTTCAGTTATGGGAAGTTGATCCCGTTTCCAACGAAATCCTCAGAGAGGTCCCAATATCCCCTTGCAGATTCTACAAAACGTGTGTTTGGAAACTGCTCCATCATAACGAATGTTCAGCTCCCTGAGTTAAACTCCATCGTCACAAAGAATTTTCTGAGAGTGCTACCGTCTGGTTTTTATATGAAGTTCTTTCCTTCACTACCACAGGCCTCAACGCGGTCCAAATCTCCACTTGCAGATTCTACAAAAAGAGTGTTTGCAAACTGCTCTATCAAAAGGAATGTTCAACTCTGGGAGTTGAATGCAATCATCACAGAGCAGTTTCTGAGAATGCTTCTATGTCGTTTTTAGGAGAAGATATTTCCTTTTCCAACACAGTCCTCCAAGCCCGCTAAATAGCCACTTGCACATTGTAGAAAAAGTGTGTCAAAGCTGCGCTATCAAAGGGAAAGTTCAACTCTGTGAGGTGAATGCAAACATCCCAAAGAAGTTTCTGAGAATGCTTCCGTTTAGCTTTTAGGTGAAGATAATCCCGTTTCCAACGAAACCTTCTAAGAGGTCCAAATATCCCCTTGCGGATCCCACAGAAAGAGTGTTTCGAAACTGCTGTTTCAAAAGGAATCTTCAACTCTGTGAGTTGAATGCAATCATCACAAAGAAGTTTCTGACAATGCTTCTCTCTCGTCTTTCTGTGAAGATAAAGGAAAAGGCTTTCAGGCCTTTTCCACCACAGGCCTGAAAGCGCTCCAAATGTCCACTTGCAGATTCTGCGAAAAGAATATTTCAAAACTGCTCTATGAAAAGCAATGTTAAACTCTGTGGCTCGAACACAAACATCACAAAGCGGTTTCTGAGAATGCTTCAGTTTAGTTTTTCTGTGGAAATATTCCCGTTTCCAAAGAAATCTTCAAAGAGGTCCACGTATCCACTTACAGATTCTACAAAAAGACAGTTTCAAAACTGCTCCATCAAAAGGAGGGTTCAACTGTGTGACTTGAATGCAATCATCACTCAGAAGTTTCTGAGAATGCTTCTCTTTAGTTTTTACGTGAACATATACCCGTTTCGAACGAAGGCCACCCAGTGGTCCAAATACCCACTTGCAGATTCTACAGAAAGAGTGTTTCGAACCTGAACTCTCAAAGGCAGGTTCATCTCTGCGAGTTAAATGCATTCATCATGAAGAACTTTCTCAGCGTGTTTGTGTTTAGTTATGGGAAATTATTCCCGTTCCCAACGAAATCCTCAGAGAGGTCCAAATGTCCACCTGCAGATTCTACCAAAAGTGTATTTGGAAACTGCTCCATCAACAGGCATGTTCAGCTCTGTGAGTGAAACTCCATCATCACAAAGAATATTCTGAGAATGCTTCCGTTTGCCTTTTATATGAAGTTCCTTCCTATACGACCGTAGGCCTCAAAGCAGTGCAAATCTCCATTTGCAGATTCTACAAAAAGAGTGATTCCAATCTGCTCTATCAATAGGATTGTTCAACTCCATGAGTTGAATGCCATCCTCACAAAGTCGTTTCTGAGAATGCTTCTATCTAGTTTTTATGTGAAGATATTTCCTTTTCCACCACAGGCCTCAAAGCCCTCCAAACGTCCACTTGCAGATTCTCGAAAAAGAGTGTTTCATAGCTGCTCTTTCAAAAGGAAAGTTCAACTCTGGGAGTTGAATACAAACATCACAAAGTAGTTTCCGAGAATGCTTCTGTTTAGTTTTTATGTGAAGATGATCCCGTTTCCAGTGAAATCTTCAAAGAGGTCCACATATCCCCTTGCAGATTCCAAAGAAAGAGGGTTTCAAAACTGCTCCATCAGAAGGATTGTTCAACTCTGTGAGTTGAATGCAGTCATCGCAGAAAACTTTCTGAGAATGCTTCTGTCTAGGTTTGATGTGAAGATATAGACGTTTCAAACGAAGGCTACAAAGTGGTCAAAATATACACTTGCAGATTCTACTACAAGGGTGTTGCAAACCTGAACTATCAAAGGAAAGTTCAACTCTGTGAGTTGAATACAAACATCACAAAGAATGTTCTGAGTTTGCTTCCGTTCAGTTATGGGAAGTTGATCCCGTTTCCAACGAAATCCTCAGAGAGGTCCAAATATCCCCTTGCAGATTCTACAAAACGTGTGTTTGGAAACTGCTCCATCATAACGAATGTTCAGCTCCCTGAGTTAAACTCCATCGTCACAAAGAATTTTCTGAGAGTGCTACCGTCTGGTTTTTATATGAAGTTCTTTCCTTCACTACCACAGGCCTCAAAGCGGTCCAAATCTCCACTTGCAGATTCTACAAAAAGAGTGTTTGCAAACTGCTCTATCAAAAGGAATGTTCAACTCTGGGAGTTGAATGCAATCATCACAGAGCAGTTTCTGAGAATGCTTCTATGTCGTTTTTAGGAGAAGATATTTCCTTTTCCAACACAGTCCTCCACGCCCGCTAAATATCCACTTGCACATTGTAGAAAAAGTGTGTCAAAGCTGCGCTATCAAAGGGAAAGTTCAACTCTGTGAGGTGAATGCAAACATCCCAAAGAAGTTTCTGAGAGTGCTTCCGTTTAGCTTTTAGGTGAAGATTATCCCGTTTCCAACGAAACCTTCAAAGAGGTCCAAATATCCCCTTGCGGATCCCACAGAAAGAGTGTTTCGAAACTGCTGTTTCAAAAGGAATCTTCAACTCTGTGAGTTGAATGCAATCATCACAAAGAAGTTTCTGACAATGCTTCTCTCTCGTCTTTCTGTGAAGATAAAGGAAAAGGCTTTCAGGCCTTTTCAACCACAGGCCTGAAAGCGCTCCAAATGTCCACTTGCAGATTCTGCCAAAAGAATATTTCAAAACTGCTCTATGAAAAGCAATGTTAAACTCTGTGGCTCGAACACAAACATCACATAGCAGTTTCTGAGAATGCTTCAGTTTAGTTTTTCTGTGGAAATATTCCCGTTTCCAAAGAAATATTCAAAGAGGTCCACGTATCCACTTACAGATTTTACAAAAAGACAGTTTCAAAACTGCTCAATCAAAAGGAGGGTTCAACTGTGTGACTTGAATGTAATCATCACTCAGAAGTTTCTGAGAATGCTTCTCTTTAGTTTTTACGTGAACATATACCCGTTTCGAACGAAGGCCAGCCAGTGGTCCAAATATCCACTTGCAGATTCTACAGAAAGAGTGTTTCGAACCTGAACTCTCAAAGGCAGGTTCATCTCTGCGAGTTAAATGCATTCATCATGAAGAACTTTCTCAGAGTGTTTGTGTTTAGTTATGGGAAATTATTCCCGTTTCCAACGAAATCCTCAGAGAGCTCCAAATATCCACCTGCAGATTCTACCAAAAGTGTATTTGGAAACTGCTCCATCAAAAGGCATGTTCAGCTCTGTGAGTGAAACTCCATCATCACAAAGAATATTCTGAGAATGCTTCCGTTTGCCTTTTATATGAAGTTCCTTCCTATACGACCGTAGGCCTCAAAGCAGTCCAAATCTCCATTTGCAGATTCTACAAAAAGAGTGATTCCAATCTGCTCTATCAATAGGATTGTTCAACTCCATGAGTTGAATGCCATCCTCACAAAGTCGTTTCTGAGAATGCTTCTATCTAGTTTTTATGTGAAGATATTTCCTTTTCCACCACAGGCCTCAAAGCCCTCCAAACGTCCACTTGCAGATTCTCGAAAAAGAGAGTTTCATAGCTGCTCTTTCAAAAGGAAAGTTCAACTCTGGGAGTTGAATACAAACATCACAAAGTAGTTTCCGAGAATGCTTCTGTTTAGTTTTTATGTGAAGATGATCCCGTTTCCAGTGAAATCTTCAAAGAGGTCCACATATCCCCTTGCAGATTCCAAAGAAAGTGGGTTTCAAAACTGCTCCATCAGAAGGATTGTTCAACTCTGTGAGTTGAATGCAGTCATCGCAGAAAACTTTCTGAGAATGCTTCTGTCTAGGTTTGATGTGAAGATATAGACGTTTCAAACGAAGGCTACAAAGTGGTCAAAATATACACTTGCAGATTCTACTACAAGGGTGTTGCAAACCTGAACTATCAAAGGAAGGTTCAACCCTGTGAGTTGAATACAAACATCACAAAGAATGTTCTGAGTTTGCTTCCGTTCAGTTATGGGAAGTTGATCCCGTTTCCAACGAAATCCTCAGAGAGGTCCAAATATCCCCTTGCAGATTCTACAAAACGTGTGTTTGGAAACTGCTCCATCATAACGAATGTTCAGCTCCCTGAGTTAAACTCCATCGTCACAAAGAATTTTCTGAGAGTGCTACCGTCTGGTTTTTATATGAAGCTCTTTCCTTCACTACCACAGGCCTCAAAGCGGTCCAAATCTCCACTTGCAGATTCTACAAAAAGAGTGTTTGCAAACTGCTCTATCAAAAGGAACGTTCAACTCTGGGAGTTGAATGCAATCATCACAGAGCAGTTTCTGAGAATGCTTCTATGTCGTTTTTAGGAGAAGATATTTCCTTTTCCAACACAGTCCTCCAAGCCCGCTAAAGAGCCACTTGCACATTGTAGAAAAAGTGTGTCAAAGCTGCGCTATCAAAGGGAAAGTTCAACTCTGTGAGGTGAAAGCAAACATCCCAAAGAAGTTTATGAGAATGCTTCCGTTTAGCTTTTAGGTGAAGATTATCCCGTTTCCAACGAAACCTTCAAAGAGGTCCAAATATCCCCTTGCGGATCCCACAGAAAGAGTGTTTCGAAACTGCTGTTTCAAAAGGAATCTTCAACTCTGAGTTGAATGCAATCATCACAAAGAAGTTTCTGACAATGCTTCTCTCTCGTCTTTCTGTGAAGATAAAGGAAAAGGCTTTCAGGCCTTTTCCACCACAGGCCTGAAAGCGCTCCAAATGTCCACTTGCAGATTCTGCGAAAAGAATATTTCAAAACTGCTCTATGAAAAGCAATGTTAAACTCTGTGGCTCGAACACAAACATCACAAAGCGGTTTCTGAGAATGCTTCAGTTTAGTTTTTCTGTGGAAATATTCCCGTTTCCAAAGAAATCTTCAAAGAGGTCCACGTATCCACTTACAGATTCTACAAAAAGACAGTTTCAAAACTGCTCCATCAAAAGGAGGGTTCAACTGTGTGACTTGAATGCAATCATCACTCAGAAGTTTCTGAGAATGCTTCTCTTTAGTTTTTACGTGAACATATACCCGTTTCGAAAGAAGGCCACCCAGTGGTCCAAATATCCACTTGCAGATTCTACAGAAAGAGTGTTTCGAACCTGAACTCTCAAAGGCAGGTTCATCTCTGCGAGTTAAATGCATTCATCATGAAGAACTTTCTCAGAGTGTTTGTGTTTAGTTATGGGAAATTATTCCCGTTTCCAACGAAATCCTCAGAGAGCTCTAAATTTCCACCTGCAGATTCTACCAAAAGTGTATTTGGAAACTGCTCCATCAAAAGGCATGTTCAGCTCTGTGAGTGAAACTCCATCATCACAAAGAATATTCTGAGAATGCTTCCGTTTGCTTTTATATGAAGTTCCTTCCTATACGACCGTAGGCCTCAAAGCAGTCCAAATCTCCATTTGCAGATTCTACAAAAAGAGTGATTCCAATCTGCTCTATCAATAGGATTGTTCAACTCCATGTGTTGAATGCCATCCTCACAAAGTAGTTTCTGAGAATGCTTCTATCTAGTTTTTATGTGAAGATATTTTCTTTTCCACCACAGGACTCAAAGCCTTCCAAACGTCCACTTGCAGATTCTCGAAAAAGAGTGTTTCATAGCTGCTCTTTCAAAAGGAAAGTTCAACTCTGGGAGTTGAATACAAACATCACAAAGTAGTTTCCGAGAATGCTTCTGTTTAGTTTTTATGTGAAGATGATCCCGTTTCCAGTGAAATCTTCAAAGAGGTCCACATATCCCCTTGCAGATTCCAAAGAAAGAGGGTTTCAAAACTGCTCCATCAGAAGGATTGTTCAACTCTGTGAGTTGAATGCAGTCATCGCAGAAAACTTTCTGAGAATGCTTCTGTCTAGGTTTGATGTGAAGATATAGACGTTTCAAACGAAGGCTACAAAGTGGTCAAAATATACACTTGCAGATTCTACTACAAGGGTGTTGCAAACCTGAACTATCAAAGGAAGGTTCAACTCTGTGAGTTGAATACAAACATCACAAAGAATGTTCTGAGTTTGCTTCCGTTCAGTTATGGGAAGTTGATCCCGTTTCCAACGAAATCCTCAGAGAGGTCCAAATATCCCCTTGCAGATTCTACAAAACGTGTGTTTGGAAACTGCTCCATCATAACGAATGTTCAGCTCCCTGAGTTAAACTCCATCGTCACAAAGAATTTTCTGAGAGTGCTACCGTCTGGTTTTTATATGAAGTTCTTTCCTTCACTACCACAGGCCTCAAAGCGGTCCAAATCTCCACTTGCAGATTCTACAAAAAGAGTGTTTGCAAACTGTTCTATCAAAAGGAATGTTCAACTCTGGGAGTTGAATGCAATCATCACAGAGCAGTTTCTGAGAATGCTTCTATGTCGTTTTTAGGAGAAGATATTTCCTTTTCCAACACAGTCCTCCAAGTCCGCTAAATAGCCACTTGCACATTGTAGAAAAAGTGTGTCAAAGCTGCGCTATCAAAGGGAAAGTTCAACTCTGTGAGGTGAATGCAAACATCCCAAAGAAGTTTCTGAGAATGCTTCCGTTTAGCTTTTAGGTGAAGATTATCCCGTTTCCAACGAAACCTTCAAAGAGGTCCAAATATCCCCTTGCGGATCCCACAGAAAGAGTGTTTCGAAACTGCTGTTTCAAAAGGAATCTTCAACTCTGTGAGTTGAATGCAATCATCACAAAGAAGTTTCTGACAATGCTTCTCTCTCGTCTTTCTGTGAAGATAAAGGAAAAGGCTTTCAGGCCTTTTCCACCACAGGCCTGAAAGCGCTCCAAATGTCCACTTGCAGATTCTGCGAAAAGAATATTTCAAAACTGCTCTATGAAAAGCAATGTTAAACTCTGTGGCTCGAACACAAACATCACAAAGCAGTTTCTGAGAATGCTTCAGTTTAGTTTTTCTGTGGAAATATTCCCGTTTCCAAAGAAATCTTCAAAGAGGTCCACGTATCCACTTACAGATTCTACAAAAAGACAGTTTCAGAACTACTCCATCAAAAGGAGGGTTCAACTATGTGACTTGAATGCAATCATCACTCAGAAGTTTCTGAGAATGCTTCTTTTTAGTTTTTATGTGAACATATACCCGTTTCGAACGAAGGCCACCCAGTGGTCCAAATATCCACTTGCAGATTCTACAGAAAGAGTGTTTCGAACCTGAACTCTCAAAGGCAGGTTCATCTCTGCGAGTTAAATGCATTCATCATGAAGAACTTTCTCAGAGTGTTTGTGTTTAGTTATGGGAAATTATTCCCGTTTCCAACGAAATCCTCAGAGAGCTCCAAATATCCACCTGCAGATTCTACCAAAAGTGTATTTGGAAACTGCTCCATCAAAAGGCATGTTCAGCTCTGTGAGTGAAACTCCATCATCACAAAGAATATTCTGAGAATGCTTCCGTTTGCCTTTTATATGAAGTTCCTTCCTATACTACCGTAGGCCTCAAAGCAGTCCAAATCTCCATTTGCAGATTCTACAAAAAGAGTGATTCCAATCTGCTCTATCAATAGGATTGTTCAACTCCATGAGTTGAATTCCATCCTCACAATGTCGTTTGTGAGAATGCTTCTATCTAGTTTTTATGTGAAGATATTTCCTTTTCCACCACAGGCCTCAAAGCCCTCCAAACGTCCACTTGCAGATTCTCGAAAAAGAGTGTTTCATAGCTGCTCTTCCAAAAGGAAAGTTCAACTCTGGGAGTTGAATACAAACATCCCAAAGTAGTTTCCGAGAATGCTTATATTTAGTTTTTATGTGAAGATGATCCCGTTTCCAGTGAAATCTTCAAAGAGGTCCACATATTCCCTTGCAGATTCCAAAGAAAGAGGGTTTCAAAACTGCTCCATCAGAAGGATTGTTCAACTCTGTGAGTTGAATGCAGTCATCGCAGAAAACTTTCTAAGAATGCTTCTGTCTAGGTTTGATGTGAAGATATAGACGTTTCAAACGAAGGCTACAAAGTGGTCAAAATATACACTTGCAGATTCTACTACAAGGGTGTTGCAAACCTGAACTATCAAAGGAAGGTTCAACTCTGTGAGTTGAATACAAACATCACAAAGAATGTTCTGAGTTTGCTTCCGTTCAGTTATGGGAAGTTGATCCCGTTTCCAACGAAATCCTCAGAGAGGTCCAAATATCCCCTCACAGATTCTACAAAACGTGTGTTTGGAAACTGCTCCATCATAACGAATGTTCAGCTCCCTGAGTTAAACTCCATCGTCACAAAGAATTTTCTGAGAGTGCTACCGTCTGGTTTTTATATGAAGTTCTTTCCTTCACTACCACAGGCCTCAAAGCGGTCCAAATCTCCACTTGCAGATTCTACAAAAAGAGTGTTTGCAAACTGCTCTATCAAAAGGAATGTTCAACTCTGGGAGTTGAATGCAATCATCACAGAGCAGTTTCTGAGAATGCTTCTATGTCGTTTTTAGGAGAAGATATTTCCTTTTCCAACACAGTCCTCCAAGCCCGCTAAATAGCCACTTGCACATTGTAGAAAAAGTGTGTCAAAGCTGCGCTATCAAAGGGAAAGTTCAACTCTGTGAGGTGAATGCAAACATCCCAAAGAAGTTTCTGAGAATGCTTCCGTTTAGCTTTTAGGTGAAGATTATCCCGTTTCCAACGAAACCTTCAAAGAGGTCCAAATATCCCCTTGCGGATCCCACAGAAAGAGTGTTTCGAAACTGCTGTTTCAAAAGGAATCTTCAACTCTGTGAGTTGAATGCAATCATCAAAAAGAAGTTTCTGACAATGCTTCTCTCTCGTCTTTCTGTGAAGATAAAGGAAAAGGCTTTCAGGCCTTTTCCACCACAGGCCTGAAAGCGCTCCAAATGTCCACTTGCAGATTCTGCCAAAAGAATATTTCAAAACTGCTCTATGAAAAGCAATGTTAAACTCTGTGGCTGGAACACAAACATCACAAAGCGGTTTCTGAGAATGTTTCAGTTTAGTTTTTCTGTGGAAATATTCCCGTTTCCAAAGAAATCTTCAAAGAGGTCCACGTATCCACTTACAGATTCTACAAAAAGACAGTTTCAAAACTGCTCCATCAAAAGGAGGGTTCAACTGTGTGACTTGAATGCAATCATCACTCAGAAGTTTCTGAGAATGCTTCTCTTTAGTTTTTACGTGAACATATACCCGTTTCGAACGAAGGCCACCCAGTGGTCCAAATATCCACTTGCAGATTCTACAGAAAGAGTGTTTCGAACCTGAACTCTCAAAGGCAGGTTCATCTCTGCGAGTTAAATGCATTCATCATGAAGAACTTTCTCAGAGTGTTTGTGCTTAGTTATGGGAAATTATTCCCGTTTCCAACGAAATCCTCAGAGTGGTCCAAATATCCACCTGCAGATTCTACCAAAAGTGTATTTGGAAACTGCTCCATCAAAAGGCATGTTCAGCTCTGTGAGTGAAACTCCATCATCACAAAGAATATTCTGAGAATGCTTCCGTTTGCCTTTTATATGAAGTTCCTTCCTATACGACCGTAGGCCTCAAAGCAGTCCAAATCTCCATTTGCAGATTCTACAAAAAGAGTGATTCCAATCTGCTCTATCAATAGGATTGTTCAACTCCATGAGTTGAATGCCATCCTCACAAAGTCGTTTCTGAGAATGCTTCTATCTAGTTTTTATGTGAAGATATTTCCTTTTCCACCACAGGCCTCAAAGCCCTCCAAACGTCCACTTGCAGATTCTCGAAAAAGAGTGTTTTATAGCTGCTCTTTCAAAAGGAAAGTTCAACTCTGGGAGTTGAATACAAACATCACAAAGTAGTTTCCGAGAATGCTTCTGTTTAGTTTTTATGTGAAGATGATCCCGTTTCCAGTGAAATCTTCAAAGAGGTCCACATATCCCCTTGCAGATTCCAAAGAAAGAGGGTTTCAAAACTGCTCCATCAGAAGGATTGTTCAACTCTGTGAGTTGAATGCAGTCATCGCAGAAAACTTTCTGAGAATGCTTCTGTCTAGGTTTGATGTGAAGATATAGATGTTTCAAACGAAGGCTACAAAGTGGTCAAAATATACACTTGCAGATTCTACTACAAGGGTGTTGCAAACCTGAACTATCAAAGGAAGGTTCAACTCTGTGAGTTGAATACAAACATCACAAAGAATGTTCTGAGTTTGCTTCCGTTCAGTTATGGGAAGTTGATCCCGTTTCCAACGAAATCCTCAGAGAGGTCCAAATATCCCCTTGCAGATTCTACAAAACGTGTGTTTGGAAACTGCTCCATCATAACGAATGTTCAGCTCCCTGAGTTAAACTCCATCGTCACAAAGAATTTTCTGAGAGTGCTACCGTCTGGTTTTTATATGAAGTTCTTTCGTTCACTACCACAGGCCTCAAAGCGGTCCAAATCTCCACTTGCAGATTCTACAAAAAGAGTGTTTGCAAACTGCTCTATCAAAAGGAATGTTCAACTCTGGGAGTTGAATGCAATCATCACAGAGCAGTTTCTGAGAATGCTTCTATGTCGTTTTTAGAAGATATTTCCTTTTCCAACACAGTCCTCCAAGCCCGCTAAATAGCCACTTGCACATTGTAGAAAAAGTGTGTCAAAGCTGCGCTATCAAAGGGAAAGTTCAACTCTGTGAGGTGAATGCAAACATCCCAAAGAAGTTTCTGAGAATGCTTCCGTTTAGCTTTTAGGTGAAGATTATCCCGTTTCCAACGAAACCTTCAAAGAGGTCCAAATATCCCCTTGCGGATCCCACAGAAAGAGTGTTTCGAAACTGCTGTTTCAAAAGGAATCTTCAACTCTGTGAGTTGAATGCAATCATCACAAAGAAGTTTCTGACAATGCTTCTCTCTCGTCTTTCTGTGAAGATAAAGGAAAAGGCTTTCAGGCCTTTTCCACCACAGGCCTGAAAGCGCTCCAAATGTCCACTTGCAGATTCTGCCAAAAGAATATTTCAAAACTGCTCTATGAAAAGCAATGTTAAACTCTGCGGCTCGAACACAAACATCACAAAGCGGTTTCTGAGAATGCTTCAGTTTAGTTTTTCTGTGGAAATATTCCCGTTTCCAAAGAAATCTTCAAAGAGGTCCACGCATCCACTTACAGATTCTACAAAAAGACAGTTTCAAAACTGCTCCATCAAAAGGAGGGTTCAACCGTGTGACTTGAATGCAATCATCACTCAGAAGTTTCTGAGAATGCTTCTCTTTAGTTTTTACGTGAACATATACCCGTTTCGAACGAAGGCCACCCAGTGGTCCAAATATCCACTTGCAGATTCTACAGAAAGAGTGTTTCGAACCTGAACTCTCAAAGGCAGGTTCATCTCTGCGAGTTAAAAGCATTCATCATGAAGAACTTTCTCAGAGTGTTTGTGTTTAGTTATGGGAAATTATTCCCGTTTCCAACGAAATCCTCAGAGAGCTCCAAATATCCACCTGCAGATTCTACCAAAAGTGTATTTGGAAACTGCTCCATCAAAAGGCATGCTCAGCTCTGTGAGTGAAACTCCATCATCACAAAGAATATTCTGAGAATGCTTCCGTTTGCCTTTTATATGAAGTTCCTTCCTATACTACCGTAGGCCTCAAAGCAGTCCAAATCTCCATTTGCAGATTCTACAAAAAGAGTGATTCCAATCTGCTCTATCAATAGGATTGTTCAACTCCATGAGTTGAAGGCCATCCTCACAAAGTCGTTTCTGAGTATGCTTCTATCTAGTTTTTATGTGAAGATATTTCCTTTTCCACCACAGGCCTCAAAGCCCTCCAAACGTCCACTTGCAGATTCTCGAAAAAGAGTGTTTCATAGCTGCTCTTTCAAAAGGAAAGTTCAACTCTGGGAGTTGAATACAAACATCACAAAGTAGTTTCCGAGAATGCTTCTGTTTAGTTCTTATGTGAAGATGATCCCGTTTCCAGTGAAATCTTCAAAGAGGTCCACATATCCCCTTGCAGATTCCAAAGAAAGAGGGTTTCAAAACTGCTCCATCAAAAGGATTGTTCAACTCTGTGAGTTGAATGCAGTCATCGCAGAAAACTTTCTGAGAATGCTTCTGTCTAGGTTTGATGTGAAGTTATAGACGTTTAAAACGAAGGCTACAAAGTGGTCAAAATATACACTTACAGATTCTACTACAAGGGTGTTGCAAACCTGAACTATCAAAGGAAGGTTCAACTCTGTGGGTTGAATACAAACATCGCAAAGAATGTTCTGAGTTTGCTTCCGTTCAGTTATGGGAAGTTGATCCCGTTTACAACGAAATCCTCAGAGAGGTCCAAATATCCCCTTGCAGATTCTTCAAAACGTGTGTTTGGAAACTGCTCCATCATAACGAATGTTCAGCTCCCTGAGTTAAACTCCATCGTCACAAAGAATTTTCTGAGAGTGCTACCGTATGGTTTTTATATGAAGTTCTTTCCTTCACTACCACAGGCCTCAAAGCGGTCCAAGTCTCCACTTGCAGATTCTACAAAAAGAGTGTTTGCAAACTGCTCTATCAAAAGGAATGTTCAACTCTGGGAGTTGAATGCAATCATCACAGAGCAGTTTCTGAGAATGCTTCTATGTCGTTTTTAGGAGAAGATATTTCCTTTTCCAACACAATCCTCCAAGCCCGCTAAATAGCCACTTGCACATTGTAGAAAAAGTGTGTCAAAGCTGCGCTATCAAAGGGAAAGTTCAACTCTGTGAGGTGAATGCAAACATCCCAAAGAAGTTTCTGAGAATGCTTCCGTTTAGCTTTTAGGTGAAGATTATCCCGTTTCCAACGAAACCTTCAAAGAGGTCCAAATATCCCCTTGCGGATCCCACAGAAAGAGTGTTTCGAAACTGCTGTTTCAAAAGGAATCTTCAACTCTGTGAGTTGAATGCAATCATCACAAAGAAGTTTCTGACAATGCTTCTCTCTCGTCTTTCTGTGAAAATAAAGGAAAAGGCTTTCAGGCCTTTTCCACCACAGGCCTGAAAGCGCTCCAAATGTCCACTTGCAGATTCTGCCAAAAGAATATTTCAAAACTGCTCTATGAAAAGCAATGTTAAACTCTGTGGCTCGAACACAAACATCACAAAGCAGTTTCTGAGAATGCTTCAGTTTAGTTTTTCTGTGGAAATATTCCCGTTTCCAAAGAAATCTTCAAAGAGGTCCACGTATCCACTTACAGATTCTACAAAAAGACAGTTTCAAAACTGCTCCATCAAAAGGAGGGTTCAACTGTGTGAATTGAATGCAATCATCACTCAGAAGTTTCTGAGAATGCTTCTCTTTAGTTTTTACGTGAACATATACCCGTTTCGAACGAAGGCCACCCAGTGGTCCAAATATCCACTTGCAGATTATACAGAAAGAGTGTTTCGAACCTGAACTCTCAAAGGCAGGTTCATCTCTGCGAGTTAAATGCATTCATCATGAAGAACTTTCTCAGAGTGTTTGTGTTTAGTTATGGGAAATTATTCCCGTTTCCAACGAAATCCTCAGAGAGCTCCAAATATCCACCTGCAGATTCTACCAAAAGTGTATTTGGAAACTGCTCCATCAAAAGGCATGTTCAGCTCTGTGAGTGAAACTCCATCATCACAAAGAATATTCTGAGAATGCTTCCGTTTGCCTTTTATCTGAAGTTCCTTCCTATACGACCGTAGGCCTCAAAGCAGTCCAAATCTCCATTTGCAGATTCTACAAAAAGAGTGATTCCAATCTGCTCTATCAATAGGATTGTTCAACTCCATGAGTTGAATGCCATCCTCACAAAGTAGTTTCTGAGAATGCTTCTATCTAGTTTTTATGTGAAGATATTTCCTTTTCCACCACAGGCCTCAAAGCCCTCCAAACGTCCACTTGCAGATTCTCGAAAAAGAGTGTTTCATAGCTGCTCTTTCAAAAGGAAAGTTCAACTCTGGGAGTTGAATACAAACATCACAAAGTAGTTTCCGAGAATGCTTCTGTTTAGTTTTTATGTGAAGATGATCCCGTTTCCAGTGAAATCTTCAAAGAGGTCCACATATCCCCTTGCAGATTCCAAAGAAAGAGGGTTTCAAAACTGCTCCATCAGAAGGATTGTTCAACTCTGTGAGTTGAATGCAGTCATCGCAGAAAACTTTCTGAGAATGCTTCTGTCTAGGTTTGATGTGAAGATATAGACGTTTCAAATGAAGGCTACAAAGTGGTCAAAATATACACTTGCAGATTCTACTACAAGGGTGTTGCAAACCTGAACTATCAAAGGAAGGTTCAACTCTGTGAGTTGAATACAAACATCACAAAGAATGTTCTGAGTTTGCTTCCGTTCAGTTATGGGAAGTTGATCCCGTTTCCAACGAAATCCTCAGAGAGGTCCAAATATCCCCTTGCAGATTCTACAAAACGTGTGTTTGGAAACTGCTCCATCATAACGAATGTTCAGCTCCCTGAGTTAAACTCCATCGTCACAAAGAATTTTCTGAGAGTGCTACCGTCTGGTTTTTATATGAAGTTCTTTCCTTCACTACCACAGGCCTCAAAGCGGTCCAAATCTCCACTTGCAGATTCTACAAAAAGAGTGTTTGCAAACTGCTCTATCAAAAGGAATGTTCAACTCTGGGAGTTGAATGCAATCATCACAGAGCAGTTTCTGAGAATGCTTCTATGTCGTTTTTAGGAGAAGATATTTCCTTTTCCAACACAGTCCTCCAAGCCCGCTAAATAGCCACTTGCACATTGTAGAAAAAGTGTGTCAAAGCTGCGCTATCAAAGGGAAAGTTCAACTCTGTGAGGTGAATGCAAACATCCCAAAGAAGTTTCTGAGAATGCTTCCGTTTAGCTTTTAGGTGAAGATTATCCCGTTTCCAACGAAACCTTCAAAGAGGTCCAAATATCCCCTTGCGGATCCCACAGAAAGAGTGTTTCGAAACTGCTGTTTCAAAAGGAATCTTCAACTCTGTGAGTTGAATGCAATCATCACAAAGAAGTTTCTGACAATGCTTCTCTCTCGTCTTTCTGTGAAGATAAAGGAAAAGGCTTTCAGGCCTTTGCCACCACAGGCCTGAAAGCGCTCCAAATGTCCACTTGCAGATTCTGCGAAAAGAATATTTCAAAACTGCTCTATGAAAAGCAATGTTAAACTCTGTGGCTCGAACACAAACATCACAAAGCAGTTTCTGAGAATGCTTCAGTTTAGTTTTTCTGTGGAAATATTCCCGTTTCCAAAGAAATCTTCAAAGAGGTCCACGCATCCACTTACAGATTCTACAAAAAGACAGTTTCAAAACTGCTCCATCAAAAGGAGGGTTCAACTGTGTGACTTGAATGCAATCATCACTCAGAAGTTTCTGAGAATGCTTCTCTTTAGTTTTTACGTGAACATATACCCGTTTCGAACGAAGGCCACCCAGTGGTCCAAATATCCACTTGCAGATTCTACAGAAAGAGTGTTTCGAACCTGAACTCTCAAAGGCAGGTTCATCTCTGCGAGTTAAATGCATTCATCATGAAGAACTTTCTCAGAGTGTTTGTGTTTAGTTATGGGAAATTATTCCCGTTTCCAACGAAATCCTCAGAGAGCTCCAAATATCCACCTGCAGATTCTACCAAAAGTGTATTTGGAAACTGCTCCATCAAAAAGCATGTTCAGCTCTGTGAGTGAAACTCCATCATCACAAAGAATATTCTGAGAATGCTTCCGTTTGCCTTTTATATGAAGTTCCTTCCTGTACTACCGTAGGCCTCAAAGCAGTCCAAATCTCCATTTGCAGATTCTATAAAAAGAGTGATTCCAATCTGCTCTATCAATAGGATTGTTCAACTCCATGAGTTGAATGCCATCCTCACAAAGTAGTTTCTGAGAATGCTTCTATCTGGTTTTTGTGTGAAGATATTTCCTTTTCCACCACAGGCCTCAAAGCCCTCCAAACGTCCACTTGCAGATTTTCGAAAAAGAGTGTTTCATAGCTGCTCTTTCAAAAGGAAAGTTCAACTCTGGGAGTTGAATACAAACATCACAAAGTAGTTTCCGAGAATGCTTCTGTTTAGTTTTTATGTGAAGATGATCCCGTTTCCAGTGAAATCTTCAAAGAGGTCCACATATCCCCTTGCAGATTCCAAAGAAAGAGGGTTTCAAAACTGCTCCATCAGAGGATTGTTCAACTCTGTGAGTTGAATGCAGTCATCGCAGAAAACTTTCTGAGAATGCTTCTGTCTAGGTTTGATGTGAAGATATAGACGTTTCAAACGAAGGCTACAAAGTGGTCAAAATATACACTTGCAGATTCTACTACAAGGGTGTTGCAAACCTGAACTATCAAAGGAAGGTTCAACTCTGTGAGTTGAATACAAACATCACAAAGAATGTTCTGAGTTTGCTTCCGTTCAGTTATGGGAAGTTGATCCCGTTTCCAACGAAATCCTCAGAGAGGTCCAAATATCCCCTCGCAGATTCTACAAAACGTGTGTTTGGAAACTGCTCCATCATAACGAATGTTCAGCTCCATGAGTTAAACTCCATCGTCACAAAGAATTTTCTGAGAGTGCTACCGTCTGGTTTTTATATGAAGTTCTTTCCTTCACTACCACAGGCCTCAAAGCGGTCCAAATCTCCACTTGCAGATTCTACAAAAAGAGTGTTTGCAAACTGCTCTATCAAAAGGAATGTTCAACTCTGGGAGTTGAATGCAATCATCACAGAGCAGTTTCTGAGAATGCTTCTATGTCGTTTTTAGGAGAAGATATTTCCTTTTCCAACACAGTCCTCCAAGCCCGCTAAATAGCCACTTGCACATTGTAGAAAAAGTGTGTCAAAGCTGCGCTATCAAAGGGAAAGTTCAACTCTGTGAGGTGAATGCAAACATCCCAAAGAAGTTTCTGAGAATGCTTCCGTTTAGCTTTTAGGTGAAGATTATCCCGTTTCCAACGAAACCTTCAAAGAGGTCCAAATATCCCCTTGCGGATCCCACAGAAAGAGTGTTTCGAAACTGCTGTTTCAAAAGGAATCTTCAACTCTGTGAGTTGAATGCAATCATCACAAAGAAGTTTCTGACAATGCTTCTCTCTCGTCTTTCTGTGAAGATAAAGGAAAAGGCTTTCAGGCCTTTTCCACCACAGGCCTGAAAGCGCTCCAAATGTCCACTTGCAGATTCTGCGAAAAGAATATTTCAAAACTGCTCTATGAAAAGCAATGTTAAACTCTGTGGCTTGAACACAAACATCACAAAGCGGTTTCTGAGAATGCTTCAGTTTAGTTTTTCTGTGGAAATATTCCCGTTTCCAAAGAAATCTTCAAAGAGGTCCACGTATCCACTTACAGATTCTACAAAAAGACAGTTTCAAAACTGCTCCATCAAAAGGAGGGTTCAACTGTGTGACTTGAATGCAATCATCACTCAGAAGTTTCTGAGAATGCTTCTCTTTAGTTTTTACGTGAACATATACCCGTTTCGAACGAAGGCCACCCAGTGGTCCAAATATCCACTTGCAGATTCTACAGAAAGAGTGTTTCGAACCTGAACTCTCAAAGGCAGGTTCATCTCTGCGAGTTCAATGCATTCATCATGAAGAACTTTCTCAGCGTGTTTGTGTTTAGTTATGGGAAATTATTCCCGTTTCCAACGAAAGCCTCAGAGAGCTCCAAATATCCACCTGCAGATTCTACCAAAAGTGTATTTGGAAACTGCTCCATCAAAAGGCATGTTCAGCTCTGTGAGTGAAACTCCATCATCACAAAGAATATTCTGAGAATGCTTCCGTTTGCCTTTTATATGAAGTTCCTTCCTATACTACCGTAGGCCTCAAAGCAGTCCAAATCTCCATTTGCAGATTCTACAAAAAGAGTGATTCCAATCTGCTCTATCAACAGGACTGTTCAACTCCATGAGTTGAATGCCATCCTCACAAAGTCGTGTCTGAGAATGCTTCTATCTAGTTTTTATGTGAAGATATTTCCTTTTCCACCACAGGCCTCAAAGCCCTCCAAACGTCCACTTGCAGATTCTCGAAAAAGTGTGTTTCATAGCTGCTCTTTCAAAAGGAAAGTTCAACTCTGGGAGTTGAATACAAACATCACAAAGTAGTTTCCGAGAATGCTTCTGTTTAGTTCTTATGTGAAGATGATCCCGTTTCCAGTGAAACCTTCAAAGAGGTCCACATATCCCCTTGCAGATTCCAAAGAAAGAGGGTTTCAAAACTGCTCCATCAAAAGGATTGTTCAACTCTGTGAGTTGAATGCAGTCATCGCAGAAAACTTTCTGAGAATGCTTCTGTCTAGGTTTGATGTGAAGATATAGACGTTTCAAACGAACGCTACAAAGTGGTCAAAATATACACTTGCAGATTCTACTACAAGGGTGATGCAAACCTGAACTATCAAAGGAAGGTTCAACTCTGTGAGTTGAATACAAACATCACAAAGAATGTTCTGAGTTTGCTTCCGTTCAGCTATGGGAAGTTGATCCCGTTTCCAACGAAATCCTCAGAGAGGTCCAAATATCCCCTTGCAGATTCTACAAAACGTGTGTTTGGAAACTGCTCCATCATAACGAATGTTCAGCTCTCTGAGTTAAACTCCATCGTCACAAAGAATTTTCTGAGGGTGCTACCGTCTAGTTTTTATATGAAGTTCTTTCCTTTACTACCACAGGCCTCAAAGCGGTCCAAATCTCCACTTGCAGATTCTACAAAAACAGTGTTTGCAAACTGCTCTATCAAAAGGAATGTTCAACTCTGGGAGTTGAATGCAATCATCACAGAGCAGTTTCTGAGAATGCTTCTATGTCGTTTTTAGGAGAAGATATTTCCTTTTCCAACACAGTCCTCCAAGCCCGCTAAATATCCACTTGCACATTGTAGAAAAAGTGTGTCGAAGCTGCGCTATCAAAGGGAAAGTTCAACTCTGTGAGGTGAATGCAAACATCCCAAAGAAGTTTCTGAGAATGCTTCCGTTTAGCTTTTAGGTGAAGATTATCCCGTTTCCAACGAAATCTTCAAAGAGGTCCAAATATCCCCTTGCGGATCCCACAGAAAGAGTGTTTCGAAACTGCTGTTTCAAAAGGAATCTTCAACTCTGTGAGTTGAATGCAATCATCACAAAGAAGTTTCTGACAATGCTTCTCTCTCGTCTTTCTGTGAAGATAAAGGAAAAGGCTTTCAGGCCTTTTCCACCACAGGCCTGAAAGCGCTCCAAATGTCCACTTGCAGATTCTACCAAAAGAATATTTCAAAACTGCTCTATGAAAAGCAATGTTAAACTCTGTGGCTCGAACACAAACATCACAAAGCAGTTTCTGAGAATGCTTCAGTTTAGTTTTTCTGTGGAAATATTCCCGTTTCGAAAGAAATCTTCAAAGAGGTCCAAGCATCCACTTACAGATTCTACAAAAAGACAGTTTCAAAACTGCTCAATCAAAAGGAGGGTTCAACCGTGTGACTTGAATGCAATCATCACTCAGAAGTTTCTGAGAACGCTTCTCTTTAGTTCTTACGTGAACATATACCCGTTTCGAACGAAGGCCACCCAGTGGTCCAAATATCCACTTGCAGATTCTACAGAAAGAGTGTTTCGAACCTGAACTCTCAAAGGCAGGTTCATCTCTGCGAGTTCAATGCATTCATCATGAAGAACTTTCTCAGAGTGTTTGTGTTTAGGTATGGGAAATTATTCCCGTTTCCAACGAAATCCTCAGAGAGGTCCAAATATCCACCTGCAGATTCTACCAAAAGTGTATTTGGAAACTGCTCCATCAAAAGGCATGTTCAGCTCTGTGAGTGAAACTCCATCATCACAAAGAATATTCTGAGAATGCTTCCGTTTGCCTTTTATATGAAGTTCCTTCCTATACTACCGTAGGCCTCAAAGCAGTCCAAATCTCCATTTGCAGATTCTACAAAAAGAGTGATTCCAATCTGCTCTATCAATAGGATTGTTCAACTCCATGAGTTGAATGCCATCCTCACAAAGTCGTTTGTGAGAATGCTTCTATCTAGTTTTTATGTGAAGATATTTCCTTTTCCACCACAGGCCTCAAAGCCCTCCAAACGTCCACTTGCAGATTCTCGAAAAAGAGTGTTTCATAGCTGCTCTTTCAAAAGGAAAGTTCAACTCTGGGAGTTGAATACAAACATCACAAAGTAGTTTCCGAGAATGCTTCTGTTTAGTTCTTATGTGAAGATGATCCCGTTTCCAGTGAAATCTTCAAAGAGGTCCACATATCCCCTTGCAGATTCCAAAGAAAGAGGGTTTCAAAACTGCTCCATCAAAAGGATTGTTCAACTCTGTGAGTTGAATGCAGTCATCGCAGAAAACTTTCTGAGAATGCTTCTGTCTAGGTTTGATGTGAAGATATAGACGTTTCAAACGAAGGCTACAAAGTGGTCAAAATATACACTTGCAGATTCTACTACAAGGGTGTTGCAAACCTGAACTATCAAAGGAAGGTTCAACTCTGTGAGTTGAATACAAACATCACAAAGAATGTTCTGAGTTTGCTTCCGTTCAGTTATGGGAAGTTGATCCCGTTTCCAACGAAATCCTCAGAGAGGTCCAAATATCCCCTTGCAGATTCTGCAAAACGTGTGTTTGGAAACTGCTCCATCATAACGAATGTTCAGCTCTCTGAGTTAAACTCCATCGTCACAAAGAATTTTCTGAGAGTGCTACCGTCTAGATTTTATATGAAGTTCTTTCCTTTACTACCACAGGCCTCAAAGCGGTCCAAATCTCCACTTGCAGATTCTACAAAAAGAGTGTCTGCAAACTGCTCTATCAAAAGGAATGTTCAACTCTGGGAGTTGAATGCAATCATCACAGAGCAGTTTCTGAGAATGCTTCTATGTCGTTTTTAGGAGAAGATATTTCCTTTTCCAACACAGTCCTCCAAGCCCGCTAAATAGCCACTTGCACATTGTAGAAAAAGTGTGTCGAAGCTGCGCTATCAAAGGGAAAGTTCAACTCTGTGAGGTGAATGCAAACATCCCAAAGAAGTTTCTGAGAATGCTTCCGTTTAGCTTTTAGGTGAAGATTATCCCGTTTCCAACGAAATCTTCAAAGAGGTCCAAATATCCCCTTGCGGATCCCACAGAAAGAGTGTTTCGAAACTGCTGTTTCAAAAGGAATCTTCAACTCTGTGAGTTGAATGCAATCATCACAAAGAAGTTTCTGACAATGCTTCTCTCTCGTCTTTCTGTGAAGATAAAGGAAAAGGCTTTCAGGCCTTTTCCACCACAGGCCTGAAAGCGCTCCAAATGTCCACTTGCAGATTCTGCCAAAAGAATATTTCAAAACTGCTCTATGAAAAGCAATGTTAAACTCTGTGGCTCGAACACAAACATCACAAAGCAGTTTCTGAGAATGCTTCAGTTTAGTTTTTCTGTGGAAATATTCCCGTTTCCAAAGAAATCTTCAAAGAGGTCCACGCATCCACTTACAGATTCTACAAAAAGACAGTTTCAAAACTGCTCAATCAAAAGGAGGGTTCAACTGTGTGACTTGAATGCAATCATCACTCAGAAGTTTCTGAGAATGCTTCTCTTTAGTTTTTACGTGAACATATACCCGTTTCGAACGAAGGCCAGCCAGTGGTCCAAATATCCACTTGCAGATTCTACAGAAAGAGTGTTTCGAACCTGAACTCTCAAAGGCAGGTTCATCTCTGCGAGTTAAATGCATTCATCATGAAGAACTTTCTCAGAGTGTTTGTGTTTAGTTATGGGAAATTATTCCCGTTTCCAACGAAATCCTCAGAGAGCTCCAAATATCCACCTGCAGATTCTACCAAAAGTGTATTTGGAAACTGCTCCATCAAAAGGCATGTTCAGCTCTGTGAGTGAAACTCCATCATCACAAAGAATATTCTGAGAATGCTTCCGTTTGCCTTTTATATGAACTTCCTTCCTATACTACCGTAGGCCTCAAAGCAGTCCAAATCTCCATTTGCAGATTCTACAAAAAGAGTGATTCCAATCTGCTCTATCAATAGGATTGTTCAACTCCATGAGTTGAATGCCATCCTCACAAAGTCGTTTCTGAGAATGCTTCTATCTAGTTTTAATGTGAAGATATTTCCTTTTCCACCACAGGCCTCAAAGCCCTCCAAACGTCCACTTGCAGATTCTCGAAAAAGAGTGTTTCATAGCTGCTCTTTCAAAAGGAAAGTTCAACTCTGGGAGTTGAATACAAACATCACAAAGTAGTTTCCGAGAATGCTTCTGTTTAGTTTTTATGTGAAGATGATCCCGTTTCCAGTGAAATCTTCAAAGAGGTCCACATATCCCCTTGCAGATTCCAAAGAAAGAGGGTTTCAAAACTGCTCCATCAGAAGGATTGTTCAACTCTGTGAGTGGAATGCAGTCATCGCAGAAAACTTTCTGAGAATGCTTCTGTCTAGGTTTGATGTGAAGATATAGACGTTTCAAACGAAGGCTACAAAGTGGTCAAAATATACACTTGCAGATTCTACTACAAGGGTGTTGCAAACCTGAACTATCAAAGGAAGGTTCAACTCTGTGAGTTGAATACAAACATCACAAAGAATGTTCTGAGTTTGCTTCCGTTCAGTTATGGGAAGTTGATCCCGTTTCCAACGAAATCCTCAGAGAGGTCCAAATATCCCCTTGCAGATTCTACAAAACGTGTGTTTGGAAACTGCTCCATCATAACGAATGTTCAGCTCCCTGAGTTAAACTCCATCGTCACAAAGAATTTTCTGAGAGTGCTACCGTCTGGTTTTTATATGATGCTCTTTCCTTCACTACCACAGGCCTCAAAGCGGTCCAAATCTCCACTTGCAGATTCTACAAAAAGAGTGTTTGCAAACTGCTCTATCAAAAGGAATGTTCAACTCTGGGAGTTGAATGCAATCATCACAGAGCAGTTTCTGAGAATGCTTCTATGTCGTTTTTAGGAGAAGATATTTCCTTTTCCAACACAGTCCTCCAAGCCCGCTAAATAGCCACTTGCACATTGTAGAAAAAGTGTGTCAAAGCTGCGCTATCAAAGGGAAAGTTCAACTCTGTGAGGTGAATGCAAACATCCCAAAGAAGTTTCTGAGAATGCTTCCGTTTAGCTTTTAGGTGAAGATTATCCCGTTTCCAACGAAACCTTCAAAGAGGTCCAAATATCCCCTTGCGGATCCCACAGAGTGTTTCGAAACTGCTGTTTCAAAAGGAATCTTCAACTCTGTGAGTTGAATGCAATCATCACAAAGAAGTTTCTGACAATGCTTCTCTCTCGCCTTTCTGTGAAGGTAAAGGAAAAGGCTTTCAGGCCTTTTCCACCACAGGCCTGAAAGCGCTCCAAATGTCCACTTGCAGATTCTGCCAAAAGAATATTTCAAAACTGCTCTATGAAAAGCAATGTTAAACTCTGTGGCTCGAACACAAACATCACAAAGCGGTTTCTGAGAATGCTTCAGTTTAGTTTTTCTGTGGAAATATTCCCGTTTCCAAAGAAATCTTCAAAGAGGTCCACGTATCCACTTACAGATTCTACAAAAAGACAGTTTCAAAACTGCTCCATCAAAAGGAGGGTTCAACTGTGTGAGTTGAATGCAATCATCACTCAGAAGTTTCTGAGAATGCTTCTCTTTAGTTTTTACGTGAACATATACCCGTTTCGAACGAAGGCCAGCCAGTGGTCCAAATATCCACTTGCAGATTCTACAGAAAGAGTGTTTCGAACCTGAACTCTCAAAGGCAGGTTCATCTCTGCGAGTTAAATGCATTCATCATGAAGAACTTTCTCAGAGTGTTTGTGTTTAGTTATGGGAAATTATTCCCGTTTCCAACGAAATCCTCAGAGAGCTCCAAATATCCACCTGCAGATTCTACCAAAAGTGTATTTGGAAACTGCTCCATCAAAAGGCATGTTCAGCTCTGTGAGTGAAACTCCATCATCACAAAGAATATTCTGAGAATGCTTCCGTTTGCCTTTTATATGAAGTTCCTTCCTATACTACCGTAGGCCTCAAAGCAGTCCAAATCTCCATTTGCAGATTCTACAAAAAGAGTGATTCCAATCTGCTCTATCAATAGGATTGTTCAACTCCATGAGTTGAATGCCATCCTCACAAAGTCGTTTCTGAGAATGCTTCTATCTGGTTTTTGTGTGAAGATATTTCCTTTTCCACCACAGGCCTCAAAGCCCTCCAAACGTCCACTTGCAGATTCTCGAAAAAGAGTGTTTCATAGCTGCTCTTTCAAAAGGAAAGTTCAACTCTGGGAGTTGAATACAAACATCACAAAATAGTTTCCGAGAATGCTTCTGTTTAGTTTTTATGTGAAGATGATCCCGTTTCCAGTGAAATCTTCAAAGAGGTCCACATATCCCCTTGCAGATTCCAAAGAAAGAGGGTTTCAAAACTGCTCCATCAAAAGGATTGTTCAACTCTGTGAGTTGAATGCAGTCATCGCAGAAAACTTTCTGAGAATGCTTCTGTCTAGGTTTGATGTGAAGATATAGACGTTTCAAACGAAGGCTACAAAGTGGTCAAAATATACACTTGCAGATTCTACTACAAGGGTGTTGCAAACCTGAACTATCAAAGGAAGGTTCAACTCTGTGAGTTGAATACAAACATCACAAAGAATGTTCTGAGTTTGCTTCCGTTCAGTTATGGGAAGTTGATCCCGTTTCCAGCGAAATCCTCAGAGAGGTCCAAATATCCCCTTGCAGATTCTACAAAACGTGTGTTTGGAAACTGCTCCATCATAACGAATGTTCAGCTCCCTGAGTTAAACTCCATCGTCACAAAGAATTTTCTGAGAGTGCTACCGTCTGGTTTTTATATGAAGTTCTTTCCTTTACTACCACAGGCCTCAAAGCGGTCCAAATCTCCACTTGCAGATTCTACAAAAAGAGTGTTTGCAAACTGCTCTATCAAAAGGAATGTTCAACTCTGGGAGTTGAATGCAATCATCACAGAGCAGTTTCTGAGAATGCTTCTATGTCGTTTTTAGGAGAAGATATTTCCTTTTCCAACACAGTCCTCCAAGCCCGCTAAATAGCCACTTGCACATTGTAGAAAAAGTGTGTCAAAGCTGCGCTATCAAAGGGAAAGTTCAACTCTGTGAGGTGAATGCAAACATCCCAAAGAAGTTTCTGAGAGTGCTTCCGTTTAGCTTTTAGGTGAAGATTATCCCGCTTCCAACGAAACCTTCAAAGAGGTCCAAATATCCCCTTGCGGATCCCTCAGAAAGAGTGTTTCGAAACTGCTGTTTCAAAAGGAATCTTCAACTCTGTGAGTTGAATGCAATCATCACAAAGAAGTTTCTGACAATGCTTCTCTCTCGTCTTTCTGTGAAGATAAAGGAAAAGGCTTTCAGGCCTTTTCCACCACAGGCCTGAAAGCGCTCCAAATGTCCACTTGCAGATTCTGCGAAAAGAATATTTCAAAACTGCTCTATGAAAAGCAATGTTAAACTCTGTGGCTCGAACACAAACATCACAAAGCAGTTTCTGAGAATGCTTCAGTTTAGTTTTTCTGTGGAAATATTCCCGTTTCCAAAGAAATCTTCAAAGAGGTCCACGTATCCACTTACAGATTCTACAAAAAGACAGTTTCAAAACTGCTCCATCAAAAGGAGGGTTCAACTGTGTGACTTGAATGCAATCATCACTCAGAAGTTTCTGAGAATGCTTCTCTTTAGTTTTTACGTGAACATATACCCGTTTCGAACGAAGGCCACCCAGTGGTCCAAATATCCACTTGCAGATTCTACAGAAAGAGTGTTTCGAACCTGAACTCCCAAAGGCAGGTTCATCTCTGCGAGTTAAATGCATTCATCATGAAGAACTTTCTCAGAGTGTTTGTGTTTAGTTATGGGAAATTATTCCCGTTTCCAAAGAAATCCTCAGAGAGCTCCAAATATCCACCTGCAGATTCTACCAAAAGTGTATTTGGAAACTGCTCCATCAAAAGGCATGTTCAGCTCTGTGAGTGAAACTCCATCATCACAAAGAATATTCTGAGAATGCTTCCGTTTGCCTTTTATCTGAAGTTCCTTCCTATACGACCGTAGGCCTCAAAGCAGTCCAAATCTCCATTTGCAGATTCTACAAAAAGAGTGATTCCAATCTGCTCTATCAATAGGATTGTTCAACTCCATGAGTTGAATGCCATCCTCACAAAGTAGTTTCTGAGAATGCTTCTATCTAGTTTTATGTGAAGATATTTCCTTTTCCACCACAGGCCTCAAAGCCCTCCAAACGTCCACTTGCAGATTCTCGAAAAAGAGTGTTTCATAGCTGCTCTTTCAAAAGGAAAGTTCAACTCTGGCAGTTGAATACAAACATCACAAAGTAGTTTCCGAGAATGCTTCTGTTTAGTTTTTATGTGAAGATGATCCCGTTTCCAGTGAAATCTTCAAAGAGGTCCACATATCCCCTTGCAGATTCCAAAGAAAGAGGGTTTCAAAACTGCTCCATCAGAAGGATTGTTCAACTCTGTGAGTTGAATGCAGTCATCGCAGAAAACTTTCTGAGAATGCTTCTGTCTAGGTTTGATGTGAAGATATAGACGTTTCAAACGAAGGCTACAAAGTGGTCAAAATATACACTTGCAGATTCTACTACAAGGGTGTTGCAAACCTGAACTATCAAAGGAAGGTTCAACTCTGTGAGTTGAATACAAACATCACAAAGAATGTTCTGAGTTTGCTTCCGTTCAGTTATGGGAAGTTGATCCCGTTTCCAACGAAATCCTCAGAGAGGTCCAAATATCCCCTTGCAGATTCTACAAAACGTGTGTTTGGAAACTGCTCCATCATAACGAATGTTCAGCTCCCTGAGTTAAACTCCATCGTCACAAAGAATTTTCTGAGAGTGCTACCGTCTGGTTTTTATATGAAGTTCTTTCCTTCACTACCACAGGCCTCAAAGCGGTCCAAATCTCCACTTGCAGATTCTACAAAAAGAGTGTTTGCAAACTGCTCTATCAAAAGGAATGTTCAACTCTGGGAGTTGAATGCAATCATCACAGAGCAGTTTCTGAGAATGCTTCTATGTCGTTTTTAGGAGAAGATATTTCCTTTTCCAACACAGTCCTCCAAGCCCGCTAAATAGCCACTTGCACATTGTAGAAAAAGTGTGTCAAAGCTGCGCTATCAAAGGGAAAGTTCAACTCTGTGAGGTGAATGCAAACATCCCAAAGAAGTTTCTGAGAATGCTTCCGTTTAGCTTTTAGGTGAAGATTATCCCGTTTCCAACGAAACCTTCAAAGAGGTCCAAATATCCCCTTGCGGATCCCACAGAAAGAGTGTTTCGAAACTGCTGTTTCAAAAGGAATCTTCAACTCTGTGAGTTGAATGCAATCATCACAAAGAAGTTTCTGACAATGCTTCTCTCTCGTCTTTCTGTGAAGATAAAGGAAAAGGCTTTCAGGCCTTTTCCACCACAGGCCTGAAAGCGCTCCAAATGTCCACTTGCAGATTCTGCGAAAAGAATATTTCAAAACTGCTCTATGAAAAGCAATGTTAAACTCTGCGGCTCGAACACAAACATCACAAAGCGGTTTCTGAGAATGCTTCAGTTTAGTTTTTCTGTGGAAATATTCCCGTTTCCAAAGAAATCTTCAAAGAGGTCCACGCATCCACTTACAGATTCTACAAAAAGACAGTTTCAAAACTGCTCCATCAAAAGGAGGGTTCAACCGTGTGACTTGAATGCAATCATCACTCAGAAGTTTCTGAGAATGCTTCTCTTTAGTTTTTACGTGAACATATACCCGTTTCGAACGAAGGCCACCCAGTGGTCCAAATATCCACTTGCAGATTCTACAGAAAGAGTGTTTCGAACCTGAACTCTCAAAGGCAGGTTCATCTCTGCGAGTTAAAAGCATTCATCATGAAGAACTTTCTCAGAGTGTTTGTGTTTAGTTATGGGAAATTATTCCCGTTTCCAACGAAATCCTCAGAGAGCTCCAAATATCCACCTGCAGATTCTACCAAAAGTGTATTTGGAAACTGCTCCATCAAAAGGCATGTTCAGCTCTGTGAGTGAAACTCCATCATCACAAAGAATATTCTGAGAATGCTTCCGTTTGCCTTTTATATGAAGTTCCTTCCTGTACTACCGTAGGCCTCAAAGCAGTCCAAATCTCCATTTGCAGATTCTATAAAAAGAGTGATTCCAATCTGCTCTATCAATAGGATTGTTCAACTCCATGAGTTGAATGCCATCCTCACAAAGTAGTTTCTGAGAATGCTTCTATCTGGTTTTTGTGTGAAGATATTTCCTTTTCCACCACAGGCCTCAAAGCCCTCCAAACGTCCACTTGCAGATTCTCGAAAAGGAGTGTTTCATAGCTGCTCTTTCAAAAGGAAAGTTCAACTCTGGGAGTTGAATACAAACATCACAAAATAGTTTCCGAGAATGCTTCTGTTTAGTTTTTATGTGAAGATGATCCCGTTTCCAGTGAAATCTTCAAAGAGGTCCACATATCCCCTTGCAGATTCCAAAGAAAGAGGGTTTCAAAACTGCTCCATCAGAGGATTGTTCAACTCTGTGAGTTGAATGCAGTCATCGTAGAAAACTTTCTGAGAATGCTTCTGTCTAGGTTTGATGTGAAGATATAGACGTTTCAAACGAAGGCTACAAAGTGGTCAAAATATACACTTGCAGATTCTACTACAAGGGTGTTGCAAACCTGAACTATCAAAGGAAGGTTCAACTCTGTGAGTTGAATACAAACATCACAAAGAATGTTCTGAGTTTGCTTCCGTTCAGTTATGGGAAGTTGATCCCGTTTCCAACGAAATCCTCAGAGAGGTCCAAATATCCCCTCGCAGATTCTACAAAACGTGTGTTTGGAAACTGCTCCATCATAACGAATGTTCAGCTCCCTGAGTTAAACTCCATCGTCACAAAGAATTTTCTGAGAGTGCTACCGTCTGGTTTTTATATGAAGTTCTTTCCTTCACTACCACAGGCCTCAAAGCGGTCCAAATCTCCACTTGCAGATTCTACAAAAAGAGTGTTTGCAAACTGCTCTATCAAAAGGAATGTTCAACTCTGGGAGTTGAATGCAATCATCACAGAGCAGTTTCTGAGAATGCTTCTATGTCGTTTTTAGGAGAAGATATTTCCTTTTCCAACACAGTCCTCCAAGCCCGCTACATATCCACTTGCACATTATAGAAAAAGTGTGTCGAAGCTGCGCTATCAAAGGGAAAGTTCAACTCTGTGAGGTGAATGCAAACATCCCAAAGAAGTTTCTGAGAATGCTTCCGTTTTGCTTTTAAGTGAAGATTATCCCGTTGGCAACGAAATCTTCAAAGAGGTCCAAATATCCCCTTGCGGATCCCACAGAAAGAGTGTTTCGAAACTGCTGTTTCAAAAGGAATCTTCAACTCTGTGAGTTGAATGCAATCATCACAAAGAAGTTTCTGACAATGCTTCTCTCTCGTCTTTCTGTGAAGATAAAGGAAAAGGCTTTCAGGCCTTTTCCACCACAGGCCTGAAAGTGCTCCAAATGTCCACTTGCAGATTCTGCCAAAAGAATATTTCAAAACTGCTCTATGAAAAGCAATGTTAAACTCTGTGGCTCGAACACAAACATCACAAAGCAGTTTCTGAGAATGCTTCAGTTTAGTTTTTCTGTGGAAATATTCCCGTTTCCAAAGAAATCTTCAAAGAGGTCCACACATCCACTTACAGATTCTACAAAAAGACAGTTTCAAAACTGCTCAATCAAAAGGAGGGTTCACCTGTGTGACTTGAATGCAATCATCACTCAGAAGTTTCTGAGAACGCTTCTCTTTAGTTTTTACGTGAACATATACCCGTTTCGAACGAAGGCCAGCCAGTGGTCCAAATATCCACTTGCAGATTCTACAGAAAGAGTGTTTCGAACCTGAACTCTCAAAGGCAGGTTCATCTCTGCGAGTTAAATGCATTCATCATGAAGAACTTTCTCAGAGTGTTTGTGTTTAGTTATGGGAAATTATTCCCGTTTCCAAAGAAATCCTCAGAGAGCTCCAAATATCCACCTGCAGATTCTACCAAAAGTGTATTTGGAAACTGCTCCATCAAAAGGCATGTTCAGCTCTGTGAGTGAAACTCCATCATCACAAAGAATATTCTGAGAATGCTTCCGTTTGCCTTTTATATGAAGTTCCTTCCTATACGACCGTAGGCCTCAAAGCAGTCCAAATCTCCATTTGCAGATTCTACAAAAAGAGTGATTCCAATCTGCTCTATCAATAGGATTGTTCAACTCCATGAGTTGAATGCCATCCTCACAAAGTCGTTTCTGAGAATGCTTCTATCTAGTTTTTATGTGAAGATATTTCCTTTTCCACCACAGGCCTCAAAGCCCTCCAAACGTCCACTTGCAGATTCTCGAAAAAGAGTGTTTCATAGCTGCTCTTTCAAAAGGAAAGTTCAACTCTGGGAGTTGAATACAAACATCACAAAGTAGTTTCCGAGAATGCTTCTGTTTAGTTTTTATGTGAAGATGATCCCGTTTCCAGTGAAATCTTCAAAGAGGTCCACATATCCCCTTGCAGATTCCAAAGAAAGAGGGTTTCAAAACTGCTCCATCAGAAGGATTGTTCAACTCTGTGAGTTGAATGCAGTCATCGCAGAAAACTTTCTGAGAATGCTTCTGTCTAGGTTTGATGTGAAGATATAGACGTTTCAAACGAAGGCTACAAAGTGGTCAAAATATACACTTGCAGATTCTACTACAAGGGTGTTGCAAACCTGAACTATCAAAGGAAGGTTCAACTCTGTGAGTTGAATACAAACGTCACAAAGAATGTTCTGAGTTTGCTTCCGTTCAGTTATGGGAAGTTGATCCCGTTTCCAACGAAATCCTCAGAGAGGTCCAAATATCCCCTTGCAGATTCTACAAAACGTGTGTTTGGAAACTGCTCCATCATAACGAATGTTCAGCTCCCTGAGTTAAACTCCATCGTCACAAAGAATTTTCTGAGAGTGCTACCGTCTGGTTTTTATATGAAGTTCTTTCCTTCACTACCACAGACCTCAAAGCGGTCCAAATCTCCACTTGCAGATTCTACAAAAAGAGTGTTTGCAAACTGCTCTATCAAAAGGAATGTTCAACTCTGGGAGTTGAATGCAATCATCACAGAGCAGTTTCTGAGAATGCTTCTATGTCGTTTTTAGGAGAAGATATTTCCTTTTCCAACACAGTCCTCCAAGCCCGCTAAATATCCACTTGCACATTGTAGAAAAAGTGTGTCAAAGCTGCGCTATCAAAGGGAAAGTTCAACTCTGTGAGGTGAATGCAAACATCCCAAAGAAGTTTCTGAGAATGCTTCCGTTTAGCTTTTAGGTGAAGATTATCCCGTTTCCAACGAAACCTTCAAAGAGGTCCAAATATCCCCTTGCGGATCCCACAGAAAGAGTGTTTCGAAACTGCTGTTTCAAAAGGAATCTTCAACTCTGTGAGTTGAATGCAATCATCACAAAGAAGTTTCTGACAATGCTTCTCTCTCGTCTTTCTGTGAAGATAAAGGAAAAGGCTTTCAGGCCTTTTCCACCACAGGCCTGAAAGCGCTCCAAATGTCCACTTGCAGATTCTGCCAAAAGAATATTTCAAAACTGCTCTATGAAAAGCAATGTTAAACTCTGTGGCTCGAACACAAACATCACAAAGCGGTTTCTGAGAATGCTTCAGTTTAGTTTTTCTGTGGAAATATTCCCGTTTCCAAAGAAATCTTCAAAGAGGTCCACGTATCCACTTACAGATTCTACAAAAAGACAGTTTCAAAACTGCTCCATCAAAAGGAGGGTTCAACTGTGTGACTTGAATGCAATCATCACTCAGAAGTTTCCTGAGAATGCTTCTCTCTTTAGTTTTTACGTGAACATATACCCGTTTCAAACGAAGGCCAGCCAGTGGTCCAAATATCCACTTGCAGATTCTACAGAAAGAGTGTTTCGAACCTGAACTCTCAAAGGCAGGTTCATCTCTGCGAGTTAAATGCATTCATCATGAAGAACTTTCTCAGAGTGTTTGTGTTTAGTTATGGGAAATTATTCCCGTTTCCAACGAAATCCTCAGAGAGCTCCAAATATCCACCTGCAGATTCTACCAAAAGTGTATTTGGAAACTGCTCCATCAAAAGGCATGTTCAGCTCTGTGAGTGAAACTCCATCATCACAAAGAATATTCTGAGAATGCTTCCGTTTGCCTTTTATATGAAGTTCCTTCCTATACGACCGTAGGCCTCAAAGCAGTCCAAATCTCCATTTGCAGATTCTACAAAAAGAGTGATTCCAATCTGCTCTATCAATAGGATTGTTCAACTCCATGAGTTGAATGCCATCCTCACAAAGTCGTTTCTGAGAATGCTTCTATCTAGTTTTTATGTGAAGATATTTCCTTTTCCACCACAGGCCTCAAAGCCCTCCAAACGTCCACTTGCAGATTCTCGAAAAAGAGTGTTTCATAGCTGCTCTTTCAAAAGGAAAGTTCAACTCTGGGAGTTGAATACAAACATCACAAAGTAGTTTCCGAGAATGCTTCTGTTTAGTTCTTATGTGAAGATGATCCCGTTTCCAGTGAAATCTTCAAAGAGGTCCACATATCCCCTTGCAGATTCCAAAGAAAGAGGGTTTCAAAACTGCTCCATCAAAAGGATTGTTCAACTCTGTGAGTTGAATGCAGTCATCGCAGAAAACTTTCTGAGAATGCTTCTGTCTAGGTTTGATGTGAAGATATAGACCTTTCAAACGAAGGCTACAAAGTGGTCAAAATATACACTTGCAGATTCTACTGCAAGGGTGTTGCAAACCTGACCTATCAAAGGAATGTTCAACTCTGTGAGTTGAATTCAAACATCATAAAGAATGTTCTGAGTTTGCTTCCGTTCAGTTATGGGAAGTTGATCCCGTTTCCAACGAAATCCTCAGAGAGGTCCAAATATCCCCTTGCAGATTCTACAAAACGTGTGTTTGGAAACTGCTCCATCATAACGAATGTTCAGCTCTCTGAGTTAAACTCCATCGTCACAAAAAATTTTCTGAGAGTGCTACCGTCTAGTTTTTATATGAAGTTCTTTCCTTTACTACCACAGGCCTCAAAGCGGTCCAAATCTCCACTTGCAGATTCTACAAAAAGAGTGTTTGCAAACTGCTCTATCAAAAGGAATGTTCAACTCTGGGAGTTGAATGCAATCATCACAGAGCAGTTTCTGAGAATGCTTCTATGTCGTTTTTAGGAGAAGATATTTCCTTTTCCAACACAGTCCTCCAAGCCCGCTAAATATCCACTTGCACATTGTAGAAAAAGTGTGTCGAAGCTGCGCTATCAAAGGGAAAGTTCAAGTCTGTGAGGTGAATGCAAACATCCCAAAGAAGTTTCTGAGAATGCTTCCGTTTAGCTTTTAGGTGAAGATTATCCCGTTTCCAACGAAATCTTCAAAGAGGTCCAAATATCCCCTTGCGGATCCCACAGAAAGAGTGTTTTGAAACTGCTGTTTCAAAAGGAATCTTCAACTCTGTGAGTTGAATGCAATCATCACAAAGAAGTTTCTGACAATGCTTCTCTCTCGTCTTTCTGTGAAGATAAAGGAAAAGGCTTTCAGGCCTTTCCCATCACAGGCCTGAAAGCGCTCCAAATGTCCACTTGCAGATTCTGCCAAAAGAATATTTCAAAACTGCTCTATGAAAAGCAATGTTAAACTCTGTGGCTCGAACACAAACATCACAAAGCAGTTTCTGAGAATGCTTCAGTTTAGTTTTTCTGTGGAAATATTCCCGTTTCCAAAGAAATCTTCAAAGAGGTCCACGTATCCACTTACAGATTCTACAAAAAGACAGTTTCAAAACTGCTCAATCAAAAGGAGGGTTCAACTGTGTGACTTGAATGCAATCATCACTCAGAAGTTTCTGAGAACGCTTCTCTTTAGTTTTTACGTGAACATATACCCGTTTCGAACGAAGGCCAGACAGTGGTCCAAATATCCACTTGCAGATTCTACAGAAAGAGTGTTTCGAACCTGAACTCTCAAAGGCAGGTTCATCTCTGCGAGTTCAATGCATTCATCATGAAGAACTTTCTCAGCGTGTTTGTGTTTAGTTATGGGAAATTATTCCCGTTTCCAACGAAATCCTCAGAGAGCTCCAAATATCCACCTGCAGATTCTACCAAAAGTGTATTTGGAAACTGCTCCATCAAAAGGCATGTTCAGCTCTGTGAGTGAAACTCCATCATCACACAAAATATTCTGAGAATGCTTCCGTTTGCCTTTTATATGAAGTTCCTTCCTATACTACCGTAGGCCTCAAAGCAGTCCAAATCTCCATTTGCAGATTCTACAAAAAGAGTGATTCCAATCTCCTCTATCAATAGGACTGTACAACTCCATGAGTTGAATGCCATCCTCACAAAGTCGTTTCTGAGAATGCTTCTATCTAGTTTTTATGTGAAGATATTTCCTTTTCCACCACAGGCCTCAAAGCCCTCCAAACGTCCACTTGCAGATTCTCGAAAAAGAGTGTTTCATAGCTGCTCTTTCAAAAGGAAAGTTCAACTCTGGGAGCTGAATACAAACATCACAAAGTAGTTTCCGAGAATGCTTCTGTTTAGTTCTTATGTGAAGATGATCCCGTTTCCAGTGAAATCTTCAAAGAGGTCCACATATCCCCTTGCAGATTCCAAAGAAAGAGGGTTTCAAAACTGCTCCATCAAAAGGATTGTTCAACTCTGTGAGTTGAATGCAGTCATCGCAGAAAACTTTCTGAGAATGCTTCTGTCTAGGTTTGATGTGAAGATATAGACGTTTCAAACGAAGGCTACAAAGTGGTCAAAATATACACTTGCAGATTCTACTACAAGGGTGTTGCAAACCTGAACTATCAAAGGAAGGTTCAACTCTGTGAGTTGAATACAAACATCACAAAGAATGTTCTGAGTTTGCTTCCGTTCAGTTATGGGAAGTTGATCCCGTTTCCAGCGAAATCCTCAGAGAGGTCCATATATCCCCTTGCAGATTCTACAAAACGTGTGTTTGGAAACTGCTCCATCATAACGAATGTTCAGCTCCCTGAGTTAAACTCCATCGTCACAAAGAATTTTCTGAGAGTGCTACCGTCTGGTTTTTATATGAAGCTCTTTCCTTTACTACCCCAGTCCTCAAAGCGGTCCAAATCTCCACTTGCAGATTCTACAAAAAGAGTGTTTGCAAACTGCTCTATCAAAAGGAATGTTCAACTCTGGGAGTTGAATGCAATCATCACAGAGCAGTTTCTGAGAATGCTTCTATGTCGTTTATAGGAGAAGATATTTCCTTTTCCAACACAGTCCTCCAAGCCCGCTAAATATCCACTTGCACATTGTAGAAAAAGTGTGTCAAAGCTGCGCTATCAAAGGGAAAGTTCAACTCTGAGAGGTGAATGCAAACATCCCAAAGAAGTTTCTGAGAGTGCTTCCGTTTAGCTTTTAGGTGAAGATTATCCCGTTTCCAACGAAACCTTCAAAGAGGTCCAAATATCCCCTTGCGGATCCCACAGAAAGAGTGTTTCGAAACTGCTGTTTCAAAAGGAATCTTCAACTCTGTGAGTTGAATGCAATCATCACAAAGAAGTTTCTGACAATGCTTCTCTCTCGTCTTCCTGTGAAGATAAAGGAAAAGGCTTTCAGGCCTTTTCCACCACAGGCCTGAAAGCGCTCCAAATGTCCACTTGCAGATTCTGCCAAAAGAATATTTCAAAACTGCTCTATGAAAAGCAATGTTAAACTCTGTGGCTCGAACACAAACATCACAAAGCAGTTTCTGAGAATGCTTCAGTTTAGATTTTCTGTGGAAATACTCCCGTTTCGAAAGAAATCTTCAAAGAGGTCCACGTATCCACTTACAGATTCTACAAAAAGACAGTTTCAAAACTGCTCCATCAAAAGGAGGGTTCAACTGTGTGACTTGAATGCAATCATCACTCAGAAGTTTCTGAGAATGCTTCTCTTTAGTTTTTACGTGAACATATACCCGTTTCGAACGAAGGCCACCCAGTGGTCCAAATATCCACTTGCAGATTCTACAGAAAGAGTGTTTCGAACCTGAACTCTCAAAGGCAGGTTCATCTCTGCGAGTTAAATGCATTCATCATGAAGAACTTTCTCAGAGTGTTTGTGTTTAGTTATGGGAAATTATTCCCGTTTCCAACGAAATCCTCAGAGAGCTCCAAATATCCACCTGCAGATTCTACCAAAAGTGTATTTGGAAACTGCTCCATCAAAAGGCATGTTCAGCTCTGTGAGTGAAACTCCATCATCACAAAGAATATTCTGAGAATGCTTCCGTTTGCCTTTTATATGAAGTTCCTTCCTATACGACCGTAGGCCTCAAAGCAGTCCAAATCTCCATTTGCAGATTCTACAAAAGAGTGATTCCAATCTGCTCTATCAATAGGATTGTTCAACTCCATGAGTTGAATGCCATCCTCACAAAGTAGTTTCTGAGAATGCTTCTATCTGGTTTTTGTGTGAAGATATTTCCTTTTCCACCACAGGCCTCAAAGCCCTCCAAACGTCCACTTGCAGATTCTCGAAAAAGAGTGTTTCATAGCTGCTCTTTCAAAAGGAAAGTTCAACTCTGGGAGTTGAATACAAACATCACAAAATAGTTTCCGAGATTGCTTCTGTTTAGTTTTTATGTGAAGATGATCCCGTTTCCAGTGAAATCTTCAAAGAGGTCCACATATCCCCTTGCAGATTCCAAAGAAAGAGGGTTTCAAAACTGCTCCATCAAAAGGATTGTTCAACTCTGTGAGTTGAATGCAGTCATCGCAGAAAACTTTCTGAGAATGCTTCTGTCTAGGTTTGATGTGAAGATATAGACGTTTCAAACGAAGGCTACAAAGTGGTCAAAATATACACTTGCAGATTCTACTACAAGGGTGTTGCAAACCTGAACTATCAAAGGAAGGTTCAACTCTGTGAGTTGAATACAAACATCACAAAGAATGTTCTGAGTTTGCTTCCGTTCAGTTATGGGAAGTTGATCCCGTTTCCAGCGAAATCCTCAGAGAGGTCCAAATATCCCCTTGCAGATTCTACAAAACGTGTGTTTGGAAACTGCTCCATCATAACGAATGTTCAGCTCCCTGAGTTAAACTCCATCGTCACAAAGAATTTTCTGAGAGTGCTACCGTCTGGTTTTTATATGAAGTTCTTTCCTTTACTACCATAGGCCTCAAAGCGGTCCAAATCTCCACTTGCAGATTCTACAAAAAGAGTGTTTGCAAACTGCTCTATCAAAAGGAATGTTCAACCCTGGGAGTTGAATGCAATCATCACAGAGCAGTTTCTGAGAATGCTTCTATGTCGTTTTTAGGAGAAGATATTTCCTTTTCCAACACAGTCCTCCACGCCCGCTAAATATCCACTTGCACATTGTAGAAAAAGTGTGTCAAAGCTGCGCTATCAAAGGGAAAGTTCAACTCTGTGAGGTGAATGCAAACATCCCAAAGAAGTTTCTGAGAGTGCTTCCGTTTAGCTTTTAGGTGAAGATTATCCCGTTTCCAACGAAAGCTTCAAAGAGGTCCAAATATCCCCTTGCGGATCCCACAGAAAGAGTGTTTCGAAACTGCTGTTTCAAAAGGAATCTTCAACTCTGTGAGTTGAATGCAATCATCACAAAGAAGTTTCTGACAATGCTTCTCTCTCGTCTTTCTGTGAAGATAAAGGAAAAGGCTTTCAGGCCTTTTCCACCACAGGCCTGAAAGCGCTCCAAATGTCCACTTGCAGATTCTGCCAAAAGAATATTTCAAAACTGCTCTATGAAAAGCAATGTTAAACTCTGTGGCTCGAACACAAACATCACAAAGCAGTTTCTGAGAATGCTTCAGTTTAGTTTTTCTGTGGAAATATTCCCGTTTCGAAAGAAATCTTCAAAGAGGTCCACGCATCCACTTACAGATTCTACAAAAAGACAGTTTCAAAACTGCTCAATCATAAGGAGGGTTCAACCGTGTGACTTGAGTGCAATCATCACTCAGAAGTTTCTGAGAACGCTTCTCTTTAGTTTTTACGTGAACATATACCCGTTTCGAACGAAGGCCACCCAGTGGTCCAAATATCCACTTGCAGATTCTACAGAAAGAGTGTTTCGAACCTGAACTCTCAAAGGCAGGTTCATCTCTGCGAGTTCAATGCATTCATCATGAAGAACTTTCTCAGCGTGTTTGTGTTTAGTTATGGGAAATTATTCCCGTTTCCAACGAAAGCCTCAGAGAGCTCCAAATATCCACCTGCAGATTCTACCAAAAGTGTATTTGGAAACTGCTCCATCAAAAGGCATGTTCAGCTCTGTGAGTGAAACTCCATCATCACAAAGAATATTCTGAGAATGCTTCCGTTTGCCTTTTATATGAAGTTCCTTCCTATACTACCGTAGGCCTCAAAGCAGTCCAAATCTCCATTTGCAGATTCTACAAAAAGAGTGATTCCAATCTGCTCTATCAACAGGATTGTTCAACTCCATGAGTTGAACGCCATCCTCACAAAGTCGTTTCTGAGAATGCTTCTATCTAGTTTTTATGTGAAGATATTTCCTTTTCCACCACAGGCCTCAAAGCCCTCCAAACGTCCACTTGCAGATTCTCGAAAAAGAGTGTTTCATAGCTGCTCTTTCAAAAGGAAAGTTCAACTCTGGGAGTTGAATACAAACATCACAAAGTAGTTTCCGAGAATGCTTCTGTTTAGTTCTTATGTGAAGATGATCCCGTTTCCAGTGAAATCTTCAAAGAGGTCCACATATCCCCTTGCAGATTCCAAAGAAAGAGGGTTTCAAAACTGCTCCATCAAAAGGATTGTTCAACTCTGTGAGTTGAATGCAGTCATCGCAGAAAACTTTCTGAGAATGCTTCTGTCTAGGTTTGATGTGAAGATATAGACGTTTCAAACGAAGGCTACAAAGTGGTCAAAATATACACTTGCAGATTCTACTACAAGGGTGTTGCAAACCTGAACTATCAAAGGAAGGTTCAACTCTGTGAGTTGAATACAAACATCACAAAGAATGTTCTGAGTTTGCTTCCGTTCAGTTATGGGAAGTTGATCCCGTTTCCAACGAAATCCTCAGAGAGGTCCAAATATCCCCTTGCAGATTCTACAAAACGTGTGTTTGGAAACTGCTCCATCATAACGAATGTTCAGCTCCCTGAGTTAAACTCCATCGTCACAAAGAATTTTCTGAGAGTGCTACCGTCTGGTTTTTATATGAAGCTCTTTCCTTCACTACCACAGGCCTCAAAGCGGTCCAAATCTCCACTTGCAGATTCTACAAAAAGAGTGTTTGCAAACTGCTCTATCAAAAGGAATGTTCAACTCTGGGAGTTGAATGCAATCATCACAGAGCAGTTTCTGAGAATGCTTCTATGTCGTTTTTAGGAGAAGATATTTCCTTTTCCAACACAGTCCTCCAAGCCCGCTAAATAGCCACTTGCACATTGTAGAAAACGTGTGTCAAAGCTGCGCTATCAAAGGGAAAGTTCAACTCTGTGAGGTGAATGCAAACATCCCAAAGAAGTTTCTGAGAATGCTTCCGTTTAGCTTTTAGGTGAAGATTATCCCGTTTCCAACGAAACCTTCAAAGAGGTCCAAATATCCCCTTGCGGATCCCACAGAAAGAGTGTTTCGAAACTGCTGTTTCAAAAGGAATCTTCAACTCTGTGAGTTGAATGCAATCATCACAAAGAAGTTTCTGACAATGCTTCTCTCTCGTCTTTCTGTGAAGATAAAGGAAAAGGCTTTCAGGCCTTTTCCACCACAGGCCTGAAAGCGCTCCAAATGTCCACTTGCAGATTCTGCCAAAAGAATATTTCAAAACTGCTCTATGAAACGCAATGTTAAACTCTGTGGCTCGAACACAAACATCACAAAGCGGTTTCTGAGAATGCTTCAGTTTAGTTTTTCTGTGGAAATATTCCCGTTTCCAAAGAAATCTTCAAAGAGGTCCACGTATCCACTTACAGATTCTACAAAAAGACAGTTTCAAAACTGCTCCATCAAAAGGAGGGTTCAACTGTGTGACTTGAATGCAATCATCACTCAGAAGTTTCTGAGAATGCTTCTCTTTAGTTTTTACGTGAACATATACCCGTTTCGAACGAAGGCCACCCAGTGGTCCAAATATCCACTTGCAGATTCTACAGAAAGAGTGTTTCGAACCTGAACTCTCAAAGGCAGGTTCATCTCTGCGAGTTAAATGCATTCATCATGAAGAACTTTCTCAGAGTGTTTGTGTTTAGTTATGGGAAATTATTCCCGTTTCCAACGAAATCCTCAGAGAGCTCCAAATATCCACCTGCAGATTCTACCAAAAGTGTATTTGGAAACTGCTCCATCAAAAGGCATGTTCAGCTCTGTGAGTGAAACTCCATCATCACAAAGAATATTCTGAGAATGCTTCCGTTTGCCTTTTATATGAAGTTCCTTCCTATACGACCGTAGGCCTCAAAGCAGTCCAAATCTCCATTTGCAGATTCTACAAAAAGAGTGATTCCAATCTGCTCTATCAATAGGATTGTTCAACTCCATGAGTTGAATGCCATCCTCACAAAGTCGTTTCTGAGAATGCTTCTATCTAGTTTTTATGTGAAGATATTTCCTTTTCCACCACAGGCCTCAAAGCCCTCCAAACGGCCACTTGCAGATTCTCGAAAAAGAGTGTTTCATAGCTGCTCTTTCAAAAGGAAAGTTCAACTCTGGGAGTTGAATACAAACATCACAAAGTAGTTTCCGAGAATGCTTCTGTTTAGTTCTTATGTGAAGATGATCCCGTTTCCAGTGAAATCTTCAAAGAGGTCCACATATCCCCTTGCAGATTCCAAAGAAAGAGGGTTTCAAAACTGCTCCATCAAAAGGATTGTTCAACTCTGTGAGTTGAATGCAGTCATCGCAGAAAACTTTCTGAGAATGCTTCTGTCTAGGTTTGAGGTGAAGATATAGACGTTTCAAACGAAGGCTACAAAGTGGTCAAAATATACACTTGCAGATTCTACTACAAGGGTGTTGCAAACCTCAACTATCAAAGGAAGGTTCAACTCTGTGAGTTGAATACAAACATCACAAAGAATGTTCTGAGTTTGCTTCCGTTCAGTTATGGGAAGTTGATCCCATTTCCAACGAAATCCTCAGAGAGGTCCAAATATCCCCTTGCAGATTCTACAAAACGTGTGTTTGGAAACTGCTCCATCATAAAGAATGTTCAGCTCTCTGAGTTTAACTCCATCGTCACAAAGAATTTTCTGAGAGTGCTACCGTCTGGTTTTTATATGAAGTTCTTTCCTTTACTACCACAGGCCTCAAAGCGGTCCAAATCTCCACTTGCAGATTCTACAAAAACAGTGTTTGCAAACTGCTCTATCAAAAGGAATGTTCAACTCTGGGAGTTGAATGCAATCATCACAGAGCAGTTTCTGAGAATGCTTCTATGTCGTTTTTAGGAGAAGATATTTCCTTTTCCAACACAGTCCTCCAAGCCCGCTAAATGTCCACTTGCACACTTTAGAAAAAGTGTGTCGAAGCTGCGCTATCAAAGGGAAAGTTCAACTCTGTGTGGTGAATGCAAACATCCCAAAGAAGTTTCTGAGAATGCTTCCGTTTAGCTTTTAGGTGAAGATTATCCCGTTTGCAACGAAATCTTCAAAGAGGTCCAAATATCCCCTTGCGGATCCCACAGAAAGAGTGTTTCGAAACTGCTGTTTCAAAAGGAATCTTCAACTCTGTGAGTTGAATGCAATCATCACAAAGAAGTTTCTGACAATGTTTCTCTCTCGTCTTTCTGTGAAGATAAAGGAAAAGGCTTTCAGGCCTTTTCCACCACAGGCCTGAAAGCGCTCCAAATGTCCACTTGCAGATTCTGCCAAAAGAATATTTCAAAACTGCTCTATGAAAAGCAATGTTAAACTCTGTGGCTCGAACACAAACATCACAAAGCAGTTTCTGAGAATGCTTCAGTTTAGTTTTTCTGTGGAAATATTCCCGTTTCCAAAGAAATCTTCAAAGAGGTCCACGCATTCACTTACAGATTCTACAAAAAGACAGTTTCAAAACTGCTCAATCAAAAGGAGGGTTCAACTGTGTGACTTGAATGCAATCATCACTCAGAAGTTTCTGAGAACGCTTCTCTTTAGTTTTTACGTGAACATATACCCGTTTCGAACGAAGGCCAGCCAGTGGTCCAAATATCCACTTGCAGATTCTACAGAAAGAGTGTTTCGAACCTGAACTCTCAAAGGCAGGTTCATCTCTGCGAGTTAAATGCATTCATCATGAAGAACTTTCTCAGCGTGTTTGTGTTTAGTTATGGGAAATTATTCCCGTTTCCAAAGAAATCCTCAGAGAGATCCAAATATCCACCTGCAGATTCTACCAAAAGTGTATTTGGAAACTGCTCCATCAAAAGGCATGTTCAGCTCTGTGAGTGAAACTCCATCATCACAAAGAATATTCTGAGAATGCTTCCGTTTGCCTTTTATATGAAGTTCCTTCCTATACGACCGTAGGCCTCAAAGCAGTCCAAATCTCCATTTGCAGATTCTACAAAAAGAGTGATTCCAATCTGCTCTATCAATAGGACTGTTCAACTCCATGAGTTGAATGCCATCCTCACAAAGTCGTTTCTGAGAATGCTCCTATGTAGTTTTTATGTGAAGATATTTCCTTTTCCACCACAGGCCTCAAAGCCCTCCAAACGTCCACTTGCAGATTCTCGAAAAAGAGTGTTTCATAGCTGCTCTTTCAAAAGGAAAGTTCAACTCTGGGAGTTGAATACAAACATCACAAAGTAGTTTCCGAGAATGCTTCTGTTTAGTTCTTATGTGAAGATGATCCCGTTTCCAGTGAAATCTTGAAAGAGGTCCACATATCCCCTTGCAGATTCCAAAGAAAGAGGGTTTCAAAACTGCTCCATCAAAAGGATTGTTCAACTCTGTGAGTTGAATGCAGTCATCGCAGAAAACTTTGCTGAGAATGCTTCCTGTCTAGGTTTGATGTGAAGATATAGACGTTTCAAACGAAGGCTACAAAGTGGTCAAAATATACACTTGCAGATTCTACTACAAGGGTGTTGCAAACCTGAACTATCAAAGGAAGGTTCAACTCTGTGAGTTGAATACAAACATCACAAAGAATGTTCTGAGTTTGCTTCCGTTCAGTTATGGGAAGTTGATCCCGTTTCCAACGAAATCCTCAGAGAGGTCCAAATATCCCCTTGCAGATTCTACAAAACGTGTGTTTGGAAACTGCTCCATCATAACGAATGTTCAGCTCCCTGAGTTAAACTCCATCGTCACAAAGAATTTTCTGAGAGTGCTACCGTCTGGTTTTTATATGAAGTTCTTTCCTTCACTACCACAGGCCTCAAAGCGGTCCAAATCTCCACTTGCAGATTCTACAAAAAGAGTGTTTGCAAACTGCTCTATCAAAAGGAATGTTCAACTCTGGGAGTTGAATGCAATCATCACAGAGCAGTTTCTGAGAATGCTTCTATGTCGTTTTTAGGAGAAGATATTTCCTTTTCCAACACAGTCCTCCAAGCCCGCTAAATAGCCACTTGCACATTGTAGAAAAAGTGTGTCGAAGCTGCGCTATCAAAGGGAAAGTTCAACTCTGTGAGGTGAATGCAAACATCCCAAAGAAGTTTCTGAGAATGCTTCCGTTTAGCTTTTAGGTGAAGATTATCCCGTTTCCAACGAAACCTTCAAAGAGGTCCAAATATCCCCTTGCGGATCCCACAGAAAGAGTGTTTCGAAACTGCTGTTTCAAAAGGAATCTTCAACTCTGTGAGTTGAATGCAATCATCACAAAGAAGTTTCTGACAATGCTTCTCTCTCGTCTTTCTGTGAAGATAAAGGAAAAGGCTTTCAGGCCTTTTCCACCACAGGCCTGAAAGCGCTCCAAATGTCCACTTGCAGATTCTGCCAAAAGAATATTTCAAAACTGCTCTATGAAAAGCAATGTTAAACTACTGTGGCTCGAACACAAACATCACAAAGCAGTTTCTGAGAATGCTTCAGTTTAGTTTTTCTGTGGAAATATTCCCGTTTCCAAAGAAATCTTCAAAGGGGGTCCACGTATCCACTTACAGATTCTACAAAAAGACAGTTTCAAAACTGCTCCATCAAAAGGAGGGTTCAACTGTGTGACTTGAATGCAATCATCACTCAGAAGTTTCTGAGAATGCTTCTCTTTAGTTTTTACGTGAACATATACCCGTTTCGAACGAAGGCCACCCAGTGGTCCAAATATCCACTTGCAGATTATACAGAAAGAGTGTTTCGAACCTGAACTCTCAAAGGCAGGTTCATCTCTGCGAGTTAAATGCATTCATCATGAAGAACTTTCTCAGAGTGTTTGTGTTTAGTTATGGGAAATTATTCCCGTTTCCAACGAAATCCTCAGAGTGGTCCAAATATCCACCTGCAGATTCTACCAAAAGTGTATTTGGAAACTGCTCCATCAAAAGGCATGTTCAGCTCTGTGAGTGAAACTCCATCATCACAAAGAATATTCTGAGAATGCTTCCGTTTGCCTTTTATATGAAGTTCCTTCCTGTACTACCGTAGGCCTCAAAGCAGTCCAAATCTCCATTTGCAGATTCTACAAAAAGAGTGATTCCAATCTGCTCTATCAATAGGATTGTTCAACTCCATGAGTTGAATGCCATCCTCACAAAGTAGTTTCTGAGAATGCTTCTATCTGGTTTTTGTGTGAAGATATTTCCTTTTCCACCACAGGCCTCAAAGCCCTCCAAACGTCCACTTGCAGATTCTCGAAAAAGAGTGTTTCATAGCTGCTCTTTCAAAAGGAAAGTTCAACTCTGGGAGTTGAATACAAACATCACAAAATAGTTTCCGAGAATGCTTCTGTTTAGTTTTTATGTGAAGATGATCCCGTTTCCAGTGAAATCTTCAAAGAGGTCCACATATCCCCTTGCAGATTCCAAAGAAAGAGGGTTTCAAAACTGCTCCATCAAAAGGATTGTTCAACTCTGTGAGTTGAATGCAGTCATCGCAGAAAACTTTCTGAGAATGCTTCTGTCTAGGTTTGATGTGAAGATATAGACGTTTCAAACGAAGGCTACAAAGTGGTCAAAATATACACTTGCAGATTCTACTACAAGGGTTTTGCAAACCTGAACTATCAAAGGAAGGTTCAACTCTGTGAGTTGAATACAAACATAACAAAGAATGTTCTGAGTTTGCTTCCGTTCAGTTATGGGAAGTTGATCCCGTTTCCAACGAAATCCTCAGAGAGGTCCAAATATCCCCTCGCAGATTCTACAAAACGTGTGTTTGGAAACTGCTCCATCATAACGAATGTTCAGCTCCCTGAGTTAAACTCCATCGTCACAAAGAATTTTCTGAGAGTGCTACCGTCTGGTTTTTATATGAAGTTCTTTCCTTCACTACCACAGGCCTCAAAGCGGTCCAAATCTCCACTTGCAGATTCTACAAAAAGAGTGTTTGCAAACTGCTCTATCAAAAGGAATGTTCAACTCTGGGAGTTGAATGCAATCATCACAGAGCAGTTTCTGAGAATGCTTCTATGTCGTTTTTAGGAGAAGATATTTCCTTTTCCAACACAGTCCTCCAAGCCCGCTAAATAGCCACTTGCACATTGAAGAAAAAGTGTGTCAAAGCTGCGCTATCAAAGGGAAAGTTCAACTCTGTGAGGTGAATGCAAACATCCCAAAGAAGTTTCTGAGAATGCTTCCGTTTAGCTTTTAGGTGAAGATTATCCCGTTTCCAACGAAACCTTCAAAGAGGTCCAAATATCCCCTTGCGGATCCCACAGAAAGAGTGTTTCGAAACTGCTGTTTCAAAAGGAATCTTCAACTCTGTGAGTTGAATGCAATCATCACAAAGAAGTTTCTGACAATGCTTCTCTCTCGTCTTTCTGTGAAGATAAAGGAAAAGGCTTTCAGGCCTTTTCCACCACAGGCCTGAAAGCGCTCCAAATGTCCACTTGCAGATTCTGCGAAAAGAATATTTCAAAACTGCTCTATGAAAAGCAATGTTAAACTCTGTGGCTGGAACACAAACATCACAAAGCGGTTTCTGAGAATGTTTCAGTTTAGTTTTTCTGTGGAAATATTCCCGTTTCCAAAGAAATCTTCAAAGAGGTCCACGTATCCACTTACAGATTCTACAAAAAGACAGTTTCAAAACTGCTCCATCAAAAGGAGGGTTCAACTGTGTGACTTGAATGCAATCATCACTCAGAAGTTTCTGAGAATGCTTCTCTTTAGTTTTTACGTGAACATATACCCGTTTCGAACGAAGGCCACCCAGTGGTCCAAATATCCACTTGCAGATTATACAGAAAGAGTGTTTCGAACCTGAACTCTCAAAGGCAGGTTCATCTCTGCGAGTTAAATGCATTCATCATGAAGAACTTTCTCAGAGTGTTTGTGTTTAGTTATGGGAAATTATTCCCGTTTCCAACGAAATCCTCAGAGAGCTCCAAATATCCACCTGCAGATTCTACCAAAAGTGTATTTGGAAACTGCTCCATCAAAAGGCATGTTCAGCTCTGTCAGTGAAACTCCATCATCACAAAGAATATTCTGAGAATGCTTCCGTTTGCCTTTTATATGAAGTTCCTTCCTGTACTACCGTAGGCCTCAAAGCAGTCCAAATCTCCATTTGCAGATTCTACAAAAAGAGTGATTCCAATCTGCTCTATCAATAGGATTGTTCAACTCCATGAGTTGAATGCCATCCTCACAAAGTCGTTTCTGAGAATGCTTCTATCTAGTTTTTATGTGAAGATATTTCCTTTTCCACCACAGGCCTCAAAGCCCTCCAAACGTCCACTTGCAGATTCTCGAAAAAGAGTGTTTCATAGCTGCTCTTTCAAAAGGAAAGTTCAACTCTGGGAGTTGAATACAAACATCACAAAGTAGTTTCCGAGAATGCTTCTGTTTAGTTTTTATGTGAAGATGATCCCGTTTCCAGTGAAATCTTCAAAGAGGTCCACATATCCCCTTGCAGATTCCAAAGAAAGAGGGTTTCAAAACTGCTCCATCAGAAGGATTGTTCAACTCTGTGAGTTGAATGCAGTCATCGCAGAAAACTTTCTGAGAATGCTTCTGTCTAGGTTTGATGTGAAGATATAGACGTTTCAAACGAAGGCTACAAAGTGGTCAAAATATACACTTGCAGATTCTACTACAAGGGTGTTGCAAACCTGAACTATCAAAGGAAGGTTCAACTCTGTGAGTTGAATACAAACATCAAAAAGAATGTTCTGAGTTTGCTTCCGTTCAGTTATGGGAAGTTGATCCCGTTTCCAACGAAATCCTCAGAGAGGTCCAAATATCCCCTTGCAGATTCTACAAAACGTGTGTTTGGAAACTGCTCCATCATAACGAATGTTCAGCTCCCTGAGTTAAACTCCATCGTCACAAAGAATTTTCTGAGAGTGCTACCGTCTGGTTTTTATATGAAGCTCTTTCCTTCACTACCACAGGCCTCAAAGCGGTCCAAATCTCCACTTGCAGATTCTACAAAAAGAGTGTTTGCAAACTGCTCTATCAAAAGGAATGTTCAACTCTGGGAGTTGAATGCAATCATCACAGAGCAGTTTCTGAGAATGCTTCTATGTCGTTTTTAGGAGAAGATATTTCCTTTTCCAACACAGTCCTCCAAGCCCGCTAAATAGCCACTTGCACATTGTAGAAAAAGTGTGTCAAAGCTGCGCTATCAAAGGGAAAGTTCAACTCTGTGAGGTGAATGCAAACATCCCAAAGAAGTTTCTGAGAATGCTTCCGTTTAGCTTTTAGGTGAAGATTATCCCGTTTCCAACGAAACCTTCAAAGAGGTCCAAATATCCCCTTGCGGATCCCACAGAAAGAGTGTTTCGAAACTGCTGTTTCAAAAGGAATCTTCAACTCTGTGAGTTGAATGCAATCATCACAAAGAAGTTTCTGACAATGCTTCTCTCTCGTCTTTCTGTGAAGATAAAGGAAAAGGCTTTCAGGCCTTTTCCACCACAGGCCTGAAAGCGCTCCAAATGTCCACTTGCAGATTCTGCCAAAAGAATATTTCAAAACTGCTCTATGAAAAGCAATGTTAAACTCTGCGGCTCGAACACAAACATCACAAAGCAGTTTCTGAGAATGCTTCGGTTAAGTTTTTCTGTGGAAATATTCCCGTTTCCAAAGAAATCTTCAAAGAGGTCCACGCATCCACTTACAGATTCTACAAAAAGACAGTTTCAAAACTGCTCAATCAAAAGGAGGGTTCAACTGTGTGACTTGAATGCAATCATCACTCAGAAGTTTCTGAGAACGCTTCTCTTTAGTTTTTACGTGAACATATACCCGTTTCGAACGAAGGCCAGCCAGTGGTCCAAATATCCACTTGCAGATTCTACAGAAAGAGTGTTTCGAACCTGAACTCTCAAAGGCAGGTTCATCTCTGCGAGTTAAATGCATTCATCATGAAGAACTTTCTCAGCGTGTTTGTGTTTAGTTATGGGAAATTATTCCCGTTTCCAACGAAATCCTCAGAGAGCTCCAAATATCCACCTGCAGATTCTACCAAAAGTGTATTTGGAAACTGCTCCATCAAAAGGCATGTTCAGCTCTGTGAGTGAAACTCCATCATCACAAAGAATATTCTGAGAATGCTTCCGTTTGCCTTTTATATGAAGTTCCTTCCTATACTACCGTAGGCCTCAAAGCAGTCCAAATCTCCATTTGCAGATTCTACAAAAAAAGTGATTCCAATCTGCTCTATCAATAGGACTGTTCAACTCCATGAGTTGAATGCCATCCTCACAAAGTCGTTTCTGAGAATGCTTCTATCTAGTTTTTATGTGAAGATATTTCCTTTTCCCCCACAGGCCTCAAAGCCCTCCAAACGTCCACTTGCAGATTCTCGAAAAAGGGTGTTTCATAGCTGCTCTTTCAAAAGGAAAGTTCAACTCTGGGAGGTGAATACAAACATCACAAAGTAGTTTCTGAGAATGCTTCTGTTTAGTTCTTATGTGAAGATGATCCCGTTTCAAGTGAAATCTTCAAAGAGGTCCACATATCCCCTTGCAGATTCCAAAGAAAGAGGGTTTCAAAACTGCTCCATCAAAAGGATTGTTCAACTCTGTGAGTTGAATGCAGTCATCGCAGAAAACTTTCTTAGAATGCTTCTGTCTAGGTTTGATGTGAAGACATAGACGTTTCAAACGAAGGCTACAAAGTGGTCAAAATATACACTTGCAGATTCTACTACAAGGGTGATGCAAACCTGAACTATCAAAGGAAGGTTCAACTCTGTGAGTTGAATTCAAACATCACAAAGAATGTTCTGAGTTTGCTTCCGTTCAGTTATGGGAAGTTGATCCCGTTTCCAACGAAATCCTCAGAGAGGTCCAAATATCCCCTTGCAGATTCTACAAAACGTGTGTTTGGAAACTGCTCCATCATAACGAATGTTCAGCTCTCTGAGTTAAACTCCATCGTCACAAAGAATTTTCTGAGAGTGCTACCGTCTAGTTTTTATAGGAAGTTCTTTCCTTTACTACCACAGGCCTCAAAGCGGTCCAAATCTCCACTTGCAGATTCTACAAAAAGAGTGTTTGCAAACTGCTCTATCAAAAGGAATGTTCAACTCTGGGAGTTGAATGCAATCATCACAGAGCAGTTTCTGAGAATGCTTCTATGTCGTTTTTAGGAGAAGATATTTCCTTTTCCAACACAGTCCTCCAAGCCCGCTAAATATCCACTTGCACATTGTAGAAAAAGTGTGTCGAAGCTGCGCTATCAAAGGGAAAGTTCAACTCTGTGAGGTGAATGCAAACATCCCAAAGAAGTTTCTGAGAATGCTTCCGTTTAGCTTTTAGGTGAAGATTATCCCGTTTCCAACGAAATCTTCAAAGAGGTCCAAATATCCCCTTGCGGATCCCACAGAAAGAGTGTTTCGAAACTGCTGTTTCAAAAGGAATCTTCAACTCTGTGAGTTGAATGCAATCATCACAAAGAAGTTTCTGACAATGCTTCTCTCTCGTCTTTCTGTGAAGATAAAGGAAAAGGCTTTCAGGCCTTTTCCACCACAGGCCTGAAAGCGCTCCAAATGTCCACTTGCAGATTCTGCCAAAAGAATATTTCAAAACTGCTCTATGAAAAGCAATGTTAAACTCTGTGGCTCGAACACAAACATCACAAAGCAGTTTCTGAGAATGCTTCAGTTTAGTTTTTCTGTGGAAATATTCCCGTTTCCAAAGAAATCTTCAAAGAGGTCCACGCATCCACTTACAGATTCTACAAAAAGACAGTTTCAAAACTGCTCAATCAAAACGAGGGTTCAACTGTGTGACTTGAATGCAATCATCACTCAGAAGTTTCTGAGAACGCTTCTCTTTAGTTTTTACGTGAACATATACCCGTTTCGAACGAAGGGCACCCAGTGGTCCAAATATCCACTTGCAGATTCTACAGAAAGAGTGTTTCGAACCTGAACTCTCAAAGGCAGGTTCATCTCTGCGAGTTAAATGCATTCATCATGAAGAACTTTCTCAGCGTGTTTGTGTTTAGTTATGGGAAATTATTCCCGTTTCCAACGAAATCCTCAGAGAGGTCCAAATATCCACCTGCAGATTCTACCAAAAGTGTATTTGGAAACTGCTCCATCAAAAGGCATGTTCAGCTCTGTGAGTGAAACTCCATCATCACAAAGAATATTCTGAGAATGCTTCCATTTGCCTTTTATATGAAGTTACTTCCTATACTACCGTAGGCCTCAAAGCATTCCAAATCTCCATTTGCAGATTCTACAAAAAGAGTGATTCCAATCTGCTCTATCAATAGGACTGTTCAACTCCATGAGTTGAATGCCGTCCTCACAAAGTAGTTTCTGAGAATGCTTCTATCTAGTTTTTATGTGAAGATATTTCCTTTTCCACCACAGGCCTCAAAGCCCTCCAAACGTCCACTTGCAGATTCTCGAAAAAGAGTGTTTCATAGCTGCTCTTTCAAAAGGAAAGTTCAACTCTGGGAGTTGAATACAAACATCACAAAGTAGTTTCCGAGAATGCTTCTGTTTAGTTCTTATGTGAAGATGATCCCGTTTCCAGTGAAATCTTCAAAGAGGTCCACATATCCCCTTGCAGATTCCAAAGAAAGAGGGTTTCAAAACTGCTCCATCAAAAGGATTGTTCAACTCTGTGAGTTGAATGCAGTCATCGCAGAAAACTTTCTGAGAATGCTTCTGTCTAGGTTTGATGTGAAGATATAGACGTTTCAAACGAAGGCTACATAGTGGTCAACATATACACTTGCAGATTCTACTACAAGGGTGATGCAAACCTGAACTATCAAAGGAAGGTTCAACTCTGTGAGTTGAATACAAACATCACAAAGAATGTTCTGAGTTTGCTTCCGTTCAGTTATGGGAAGTTGATCCCGTTTCCAACGAAATCCTCAGAGAGGTCCAAATATCCCCTTGCAGATTCTACAAAACGTGTGTTTGGAAACTGCTCCATCATAACGAATGTTCAGCTCCCTGAGTTAAACTCCATCGTCACAAAGAATTTTCTGAGAGTGCTACCGTCTGGTTTTTATATGAAGTTCTTTCCTTCACTACCACAGGCCTCAAAGCAGTCCAAATCTCCACTTGCAGATTCTACAAAAAGAGTGTTTGCAAACTGCTCTATCAAAAGGAATGTTCAACTCTGGGAGTTGAATGCAATCATCACAGAGCAGTTTCTGAGAATGCTTCTATGTCGTTTTTAGGAGAAGATATTTCCTTTTCCAACACAGTCCTCCAAGCCCGCTAAATAGCCACTTGCACATTGTAGAAAAAGTGTGTCAAAGCTGCGCTATCAAAGGGAAAGTTCAACTCTGTGAGGTGAATGCAAACATCCCAAAGAAGTTTCTGAGAATGCTTCCGTTTAGCTTTTAGGTGAAGATTATCCCGTTTCCAACGAAACCTTCAAAGAGGTCCAAATATCCCCTTGCGGATCCCACAGAAAGAGTGTTTCGAAACTGCTGTTTCAAAAGGAATCTTCAACTCTGTGAGTTGAATGCAATCATCACAAAGAAGTTTCTGACAATGCTTCTCTCTCGTCTTTCTGTGAAGATAAAGGAAAAGGCTTTCAGGCCTTTGCCACCACAGGCCTGAAAGCGCTCCAAATGTCCACTTGCAGATTCTGCGAAAAGAATATTTCAAAACTGCTCTATGAAAAGCAATGTTAAACTCTGCGGCTCGAACACAAACATCACAAAGCGGTTTCTGAGAATGCTTCAGTTTAGTTTTTCTGTGGAAGTATTCCCGTTTCCAAAGAAATCTTCAAAGAGGTCCACGTATCCACTTACAGATTCTACAAAAAGACAGTTTCAAAACTGCTCCATCAAAAGGAGGGTTCAACTGTGTGACTTGAATGCAATCATCACTCAGAAGTTTCTGAGAATGCTTCTCTTTAGTTTTTACGTGAACATATACCCGTTTCGAACGAAGGCCACCCAGTGGTCCAAATATCCACTTGCAGATTATACAGAAAGAGTGTTTCGAACCTGAACTCTCAAAGGCAGGTTCATCTCTGCGAGTTAAATGCATTCATCATGAAGAACTTTCTCAGAGTGTTTGTGTTTAGTTATGGGAAATTATTCCCGTTTCCAACGAAATCCTCAGAGAGCTCCAAATATCCACCTGCAGATTCTACCAAAAGTGTATTTGGAAACTGCTCCATCAAAAGGCATGTTCAGCTCTGTGAGTGAAACTCCATCATCACAAAGAATATTCTGAGAATGCTTCCGTTTGCCTTTTATATGAAGTTCCTTCCTGTACTACCGTAGGCCTCAAAGCAGTCCAAATCTCCATTTGCAGATTCTACAAAAAGAGTGATTCCAATCTGCTCTATCAATAGGATTGTTGAACTCCATGAGTTGAATGCCATCCTCACAAAGCAGTTTATGAGAATGCTTCTATCTGGTGTTTGTGTGAAGATATTTCCTTTTCCACCACAGGCCTCAAAGCCCTCCAAACGTCCACTTGCAGATTCTCGAAAAAGAGTGTTTCATAGCTGCTCTTTCAAAAGGAAAGTTCAACTCTGGGAGTTGAATACAAACATCACAAAGTAGTTTCCGAGAATGCTTCTGTTTAGTTTTTATGTGAAGATGATCCCGTTTCCAGTGAAATCTTCAAAGAGGTCCACATATCCCCTTGCAGATTCCAAAGAAAGAGGGTTTCAAAACTGCTCCATCAGAAGGATTGTTCAACTCTGTGAGTTGAATGCAGTCATCGCAGAAAACTTTCTGAGAATGCTTCTGTCTAGGTTTGATGTGAAGATATAGACGTTTCAAACGAAGGCTACAAAGTGGTCAAAATATACACTTGCAGATTCTACTACAAGGGTGTTGCAAACCTGAACTATCAAAGGAAGGTTCAACTCTGTGAATTGAATACAAACATCACAAAGAATGTTCTGAGTTTGCTTCCGTTCAGTTATGGGAAGTTGATCCCGTTTCCAACGAAATCCTCAGAGAGGTCCAAATATCCCCTCGCAGATTCTACAAAACGTGTGTTTGGAAACTGCTCCATCATAACGAATGTTCAGCTCCCTGAGTTAAACTCCATCGTCACAAAGAATTTTCTGAGAGTGCTACCGTCTGGTTTTTATATGAAGTTCTTTCCTTCACTACCACAGGCCTCAAAGCGGTCCAAATCTCCACTTGCAGATTCTACAAAAAGAGTGTTTGCAAACTGCTCTATCAAAAGGAATGTTCAACTCTGGGAGTTGAATGCAATCATCACAGAGCAGTTTCTGAGAATGCTTCTATGTCGTTTTTAGGAGAAGATATTTCCTTTTCCAACACAGTCCTCCAAGCCCGCTAAATAGCCACTTGCACATTGTAGAAAAAGTGTGTCAAAGCTGCGCTATCAAAGGGAAAGTTCAACTCTGTGAGGTGAATGCAAACATCTCAAAGAAGTTTCTGAGAATGCTTCCGTTTAGCTTTTAGGTGAGGATTATCCCGTTTCCAACGAAACCTTCAAAGAGGTCCAAATATCCCCTTGCGGATCCCACAGAAAGAGTGGTTCGAAACTGCTGTTTCAAAAGGAATCTTCAACTCTGTGAGTTGAATGCAATCATCACAAAGAAGTTTCTGACAATGCTTCTCTCTCGTCTTTCTGTGAAGATAAAGGAAAAGGCTTTCAGGCCTTTGCCACCACAGGCCTGAAAGCGCTCCAAATGTCCACTTGCAGATTCTGCCAAAAGAATATTTCAAAACTGCTCTATGAAAAGCAATGTTAAACTCTGTGGCTCGAACACAAACATCACAAAGCGGTCTCTGAGAATGCTTCAGTTTAGTTTTTCTGTGGAAATATTCCCGTTTCCAAAGAAATCTTCAAAGAGGTCCACGTATCCACTTACAGATTCTACAAAAAGACAGTTTCAAAACTGCTCAATCAAAAGGAGGGTTCAACTGTGTGACTTGAATGCAATCATCACTCAGAAGTTTCTGAGAATGCTTCTCTTTAGTTTTTACGTGAACATATACCCGTTTCGAACGAAGGCCACCCAGTGGTCCAAATGTCCACTTGCAGATTCTACAGAAAGAGTGTTTCGAACCTGAACTCTCAAAGGCAGGTTCATCTCTGCGAGTTAAATGCATTCATCATGAAGAACTTTCTCAGAGTGTTTGTGTTTAGTTATGGGAAATTATTCCCGTTCCCAACGAAATCCTCAGAGAGGTCCAAATGTCCACCTGCAGATTCTACCAAAAGTGTATTTGGAAACTGCTCCATCAACAGGCATGTTCAGCTCTGTGAGTGAAACTCCATCATCACAAAGAATATTCTGAGAATGCTTCCGTTTGCCTTTTATATGAAGTTCCTTCCTATACGACCGTAGGCCTCAAAGCAGTGCAAATCTCCATTTGCAGATTCTACAAAAAGAGTGATTCCAATCTGCTCTATCAATAGGATTGTTCAACTCCATGAGTTGAATGCCATCCTCACAAAGTCGTTTCTGAGAATGCTTCTATCTAGTTTTTATGTGAAGATATTTCCTTTTCCACCACAGGCCTCAAAGCCCTCCAAACGTCCACTTGCAGATTCTCGAAAAAGAGTGTTTCATAGCTGCTCTTTCAAAAGGAAAGTTCAACTCTGGGAGTTGAATACAAACATCACAAAGTAGTTTCCGAGAATGCTTCTGTTTAGTTTTTATGTGAAGATGATCCCGTTTCCAGTGAAATCTTCAAAGAGGTCCACATATCCCCTTGCAGATTCCAAAGAAAGAGGGTTTCAAAACTGCTCCATCAGAAGGATTGTTCAACTCTGTGAGTTGAATGCAGTCATCGCAGAAAACTTTCTGAGAATGCTTCTGTCTAGGTTTGATGTGAAGATATAGACGTTTCAAACGAAGGCTACAAAGTGGTCAAAATATACACTTGCAGATTCTACTACAAGGGTGTTGCAAACCTGAACTATCAAAGGAAGGTTCAACTCTGTGAATTGAATACAAACATCACAAAGAATGTTCTGAGTTTGCTTCCGTTCAGTTATGGGAAGTTGATCCCGTTTCCAACGAAATCCTCAGAGAGGTCCAAATATCCCCTCGCAGATTCTACAAAACGTGTGTTTGGAAACTGCTCCATCAAAACGAATGTTCAGCTCCCTGAGTTAAACTCCATCGTCACAAAGAATTTTCTGAGAGTGCTACCGTCTGGTTTTTATATGAAGTTCTTTCCTTCACTACCACAGGCCTCAAAGCGGTCCAAATCTCCACTTGCAGATTCTACAAAAAGAGTGTTTGCAAACTGCTCTATCAAAAGGAATGTTCAACTCTGGGAGTTGAATGCAATCATCACAGAGCAGTTTCTGAGAATGCTTCTATGTCGTTTTTAGGAGAAGATATTTCCTTTTCCAACACAGTCCTCCAAGCCCACTAAATAGCCACTTGCACATTGTAGAAAAAGTGTGTCAAAGCTGCGCTATCAAAGGGAAAGTTCAACTCTGTGAGGTGAATGCAAACATCCCAAAGAAGTTTCTGAGAATGCTTCCGTTTAGCTTTTAGGTGAAGATTATCCCGTTTCCAACGAAACCTTCAAAGAGGTCCAAATATCCCCTTGCGGATCCCACAGAAAGAGTGTTTCAAAACTGCTGTTTCAAAAGGAATCTTCAACTCTGTGAGTTGAATGCAATCATCACAAAGAAGTTTCTGACAATGCTTCTCTCTCGTCTTTCTGTGAAGATAAAGGAAAAGGCTTTCAGGCCTTTTCCACCACAGGCCTGAAAGCGCTCCAAATGTCCACTTGCAGATTCTGCGAAAAGAATATTTCAAAACTGCTCTATGAAAAGCAATGTTAAACTCTGTGGCTGGAACACAAACATCACAAAGCGGTTTCTGAGAATGTTTCAGTTTAGATTTCTGTGGAAATATTCCCGTTTCCAAAGAAATCTTCAAAGAGGTCCACGTATCCACTTACAGATTCTACAAAAAGACAGTTTCAAAACTGCTCCATCAAAAGGAGGGTTCAACTGTGTGACTTGAATGCAATCATCACTCAGAAGTTTCTGAGAATGCTTCTCTTTAGTTTTTACGTGAACATATACCCGTTTCGAACGAAGGCCACCCAGTGGTCCAAATATCCACTTGCAGATTATACAGAAAGAGTGTTTCGAACCTGAACTCTCAAAGGCAGGTTCATCTCTGCGAGTTAAATGCATTCATCATGAAGAACTTTCTCAGAGTGTTTGTGTTTAGTTATGGGAAATTATTCCCGTTTCCAACGAAATCCTCAGAGTGGTCCAAATATCCACCTGCAGATTCTACCAAAAGTGTATTTGGAAACTGCTCCATCAAAAGGCATGTTCAGCTCTGTGAGTGAAACTCCATCATCACAAAGAATATTCTGAGAATGCTTCCGTTTGCCTTTTATCTGAAGTTCCTTCCTATACGACCGTAGGCCTCAAAGCAGTCCAAATCTCCATTTGCAGATTCTACAAAAAGAGTGATTCCAATCTGCTCTATCAATAGGATTGTTCAACTCCATGAGTTGAATGCCATCCTCACAAAGTAGTTTCTGAGAATGCTTCTATCTAGTTTTTATGTGAAGGTATTTCCTTTTCCACCACAGGCCTCCAAGCCCTCCAAACGTCCACTTGCAGATTCTCGAAAAAGAGTGTTTCATAGCTGCTCTTTCAAAAGGAAAGTTCAACTCTGGGAGTTGAATACAAACATCACAAAGTAGTTTCCGAGAATGCTTCTGTTTAGTTTTTATGTGAAGATGATCCCGTTTCCAGTGAAATCTTCAAAGAGGTCCACATATCCCCTTGCAGATTCCAAAGAAAGAGGGTTTCAAAACTGCTCCATCAGAAGGATTGTTCAACTCTGTGAGTTGAATGCAGTCATCGCAGAAAACTTTCTGAGAATGCTCCTCGGCCTCCCAAAGTGCTGGGATTACAGGCATGAGCTACTGTGCCTGGTCTAGCTTGTGGTATTTT